>NW_012132915.1:160415-320830 GCF_000001405.40 Homo sapiens | reverse complement strand
AACTGGATGTGTCAGCCTCTTTCTTCAGCCTTTCAGCTTCCTCAGGCATTGGGGTCAAGTTTGCATAGATCTACCCTGTCATGTGCGCTCCAAGGTCAGAGTTAACCAGGCCCATGCGTGTTTATGTCTTTCCACAATGTCAGACTTTTACTGATGCTATTTCCAACACAGAAGCTGCAAGCTACATGGAGCTCCCAAGGAGCCATTCGATTGTCAGTGTTGCGGGCACACAGGCTAAAACCATTGCACAAGCCGGTCAATATTGCAAACCATACATAATAGTATTCTTAATCAATACATAAACATTATAAGTTAAAGTTTACACAATGCAACATTTAACACCAAAAGAAAAAAAATAGGAGAAAGAGTTATCAAATCAATCCAGGGGTAGTGAAGAAGACAAAAAGAATCCTGGTCTGGCCTGAAGGTCCCTTGGTCCTTGCAAGGAAGAGTCTCTGATGTGTCAGAGCCTTCTTAGGCAGATGAGGAGTTCTTATCACAAATGACAACGGGATGGTTGTGAATTAAGATGGCCCTTTTGAGATACTGACAGCCCGCACTTTCATGGTCACAGAGTCCTCTGGTGAGAACTCATAGTGCAAGACTGTGCTTGCTTGTGACCTTATCTGGTTGGATGCAGCCTTTATTTTTTTTATTTTGTAGGCAAAACATTTTATTCTTGTTGGCAAGCTGCCCTATGAAACATATAATGCAGTCTTTATCTGAGATGGAGTCAATTATGTCAAAGTTCCACTATACATATCCAACACAAAACATCTGTACTGATAAATCTGAAGTTGTATCATGATTAAAATTTATACTTCCTTAATAGGTAATGATCTTGAGTCACTTTTCATATATTTATTTTCATTGGCTGTTTGCATATCTTTAGGGAAGTTCCTGTTCAAATCGTGTGTGTGAGTGTCTGTGTGTGTAATGTTATATTAATCATACACATTGATGCGATTAGAAGTTCTTAATTATAATGTAATCTAATTTGTCATTTTACTTGTCATTTTTTTCTCCTGTGTTTGTTTTGTGTATTTACGTGTGTCCTCTGTTTAATAAATTTTTACCACCAAAGGGCTTAAAGATATGCTCCTATGCTTTCTTGAAGAAGCATCGTTATTTTACCTCTCACATATAGGCTACAGTCTATCTCTAATTCATGTTTTTTGCCTGGGGTGAGGTGGATCAAGAATTTTATTTTGATATCTTGTTTTATTTATTTTTATTTTCATACTCAACAACTCCTCACCATTTCTTGCAAAAATAGAGCAAAACACAACAAAACAAAAAACAATTGAAAACATATACCTCACTCTATTGCCTGTGTTTAAAAATCTCATGATTGTGTAAAAATAATATTTTTCTTGACTCTTTGTCTATCTCTGTGCTTACAGTACAGTCTTAATTACTGTGGCTTTATTATAAAGAAAAAAAAGTCAGAAGACATAATACCAGATTTTTAGACTTAAGATTTTCTTGGCTATTCTACATCCTTTGAATTTCCACGTAAATTGTAGAATCACCTTTTCAATTTCAAAAATTCCTTTGGGGATTTTAATTGGACTGCATTGAGTCTATATATCAAATTGGAGAAAACTGAAATCTTTTTTTGTATTATACTTTAAGTTTTATGGTACATGTGCACAACGTGCAGGTTTGTTACATATTTATACATGTGCCATGTTGGTGTGCTGCATCCATTAACTCTTAACAATATCAAATCTTCTGTTCTATGAACAGAAAATGCTATTTATTTATATCTCCTTTAATCCACATTGTATGCAGAGACCTATTTCTAGTGATTAAGTTTTAGATTCTTTAAGAACTTATGTACAAATTTTTTCAGCAAATACAAATGTTTTGCTTATTCATTTCCATACTCCATGGGTTTTGTTTGTTTATTTGTTTTGAATTTTTGCATGTCTTAGGACCTCCATTATGATTTCATATAGTGGATGGTTCAGTATTTTTTATAATTTGAGAAGTGAAATGTTTAATATTTTATCACTAAGATGTTTGCTGTAGAATTGCCTGTACGACTTCTCAATAATTTTAAACCTCAGTAATTCTAAAGATGGATCATTTGTAGATGCTTTATCAGAATAAGGTGTTTTTCATTATCCCAGGCTTGCTGAGAGTTTTATTATGAATAGCTGTTGACTTCTTTCAAGTGATTTTCAGCTACTATTGAGATAATAAAAGTTATTGTTCTTAATTCTGTCAGTGTGATGCATTATATGGATTGATTATGTAATGTTATAATAACCTTGCACTTCTGAAATATATTCAAGTTGGGCATGGCAGATTATCTGAGAGAGATAGAGGTAAATCTTCCCTTTTTTTTTTGAATGTTTGTCTGTATTTATGAGAGATACTGACTTTTAGTTTTTCCATTTGAAATGTCTTCAATAGTCTTTTGATCTTATCACTCTTATTGTGCAGTTGTCAACATAACTTATCAAACTAGACAATGAGAGATTAGAACATGAGCAACATCATTCTTAAGGCTCCTTGTGGTTATCGAGATGTTGGAGGGGATAGAGAGATAAACCTGAGAAATATTTCAGTGAGAGAGTTGATGGGACTGAGGTTTGCACAGCCGATGGCAGTTGATTTTTAAAAATTGCTTATATGTGCAACTATATTTCCCTTTATAATTTTTATCCTTTACTCTGTGTGTAGAAAAGTGTATTTTATCCTGCTTTACTAGGACATTTGTGTTTTCATTTCTTTTTACAAATCTGAAATTCATGTTTATTTGTGAATTATCACTTCACTTAAACATTTTATACAATGCTTTTCTAGCAATTTGAGATTTTGGAGTACTATACCGCTGATATTGAGTGGCAAACATAAACATAACCACTAATCGTATCTTATGATCTAAATAGAATACATACTGGTTGGAGTGGGGAAATTGTGCATATCATGAAGTAAGGACAAGCATTAGAAATAAAGGAAATATTTCTTAAGATATTTGATAGCTTAGGAAATATCATTTCATAACACTTATATTTTCAGAAAAATATTTGATGTGTTTGTGTTCTATTTCTGAATTAGATGTCACAGTAATCACTGTGCTGACTCAGGCTCTGGTCTCCAAAAACAGCTTGATCAGTTAGGGCTGAGCAGTGACTCAGCCTGGTATTGGCAGAACCCAGTTTAGTATCCTGCGATTCTTACTGTGTATGCGCCTGTCTGACTTCACCCTGACTCAGTGGAATTGGTCTGAGACAGATGCCTTGCTCACAGTTAGGAGCTGAAATTATGAGGCTCCCACATGATGAGGAAACAGCCTTTCTTCTCATTGTAAGATGAGTTCTGAGGGCTTTTTTGCATCTGTGAATTGTGACTTCTCACGGGGAACTCACACACTTGAGTGACCTGAGAAGACCATGAAGTGTGATGTATTTAACCTCAATTACATCACCATTTCTCATGTGATTTTTTTTTCATTTCAGTTGTCAACGGGAACATTATCGTGCCCAAACTTACAAAACTTCCAGACAAAGCTTCCTGAGAGAAGTTGAAAGGCCACCATCAGCTGAGAAGCTGTGACGATATTTGTAGCTGCCTGAATTGGAGCCAACAAAAACCAGGTCAGGCTCTGAATCTTACTATTTATAGTAATTATGACCTGCACCTTGCTGTCCTTGCCAGGATTAGTGACAGTGGGTGGACTGATTTCATCCCCTCCATCAGCAGCCTGGAGGCTGAAGATGCAGCGTACTGTTACTGTCAACAACATAGGAGCTTGCCTGTCACGGTGTGAGAACTCTGGACAGCGAGAGGACACCAATCCACTCCTTTCTCTTGTCAAAATGACTGACATCTAAGTGGGAAATCTAATGAACCCCTCAGAAAGGGCCTTTGGATACTACTTTATCCCATGATGAAAGACAGGAACCGAAACCACACACATTTGATGGGAATTTGGGCTCATCCACTTAACAGCTGTGTGACTTTCAGGACGTTACTTAAACTTTCTTTGCTTGGTTTTCCCATCTGTAATAATAAAAAATAAAGGAATAGCTACATCATACGGTATTATAAGAGTTGAATAGATGTTTTTAAAATGTTTATAAATAGTAAACATTTGATAACATTATTTATCATTATTTTGCTCCACCCGGTAATTATATATATAATATTTCTCACCATATTTTTAAATTTGAACCATTTCATAATTTAAAAATTGTTTTGCAACTTCCACTTCTGTAAAATGGTGGAACGGCTTATGTGGAACCAACCTTCTGGGTACACCTAAAAAAAGCTGAATAAAATATGAAAACGTGTTTGAAGGCATTAGAGCATCACCATGTCTGAGAGTCTGATTACTTTTGATGTTTTATCCCTGACATCCTCCAAGCCCCTCCTCCTTTTTTCTCTGCCCATATCTCTATAAGCACTGGTAGGAAATTCCCCACAACCCTCCAGCTCACAGGGAGAACATTCTCTCACTCTCTCCCCTTACCAACTCTAAAAGCCTAAACTCTGCCTCTTCAGGCAGGTCTGCACCAGCTCGTGCCCACCCCACACAGGCATCCTTCGTGGGAACAATAAACACTCTCTCAAGTTTTCTTGGCCTCAACTTAATAATTATTAATTAGGGAACCGGCCCATCTACCTCCATGATGGGGCATTAAACATTACAACCCAGCAGGTCTTCAAGGAGACAAGAAAAGCAGGGAAGCATAGACAGGGGAGCACTAGTTTTGTGCCTTCAGTGTCCCTTGAGACATAAGCAGGCTCAGAAATAGAGGCCCAGTCCTGAAAATCTGAAAGAAAGGAGGGGCCAAGGGGCCTCGGAGTCCATCAGAGCTTTAAAAAACTCTCATATGGCCACAGGTGAAAAACTGTCCCGAACGACTGCAGAAAAGGAGGGATCCTGACACATACCGAGGTCTTGAGGTGAAATCTTGCTAGGGAAACATACCGGGAGGAGGTTGCACCAGGAGTAGCAAGGCACCACCGTGCTGATACCCAGGCCCAAAGTACTGCAGTCCTTTGATGGCATTAACTTGGTACAGCCCTAGCATTTCATTCTGGCAGAATAAGAAGTAAATCCTCTCTGGAGTGTGAAAATTATTCCAGAGCCCAAACTTGCTTCTAAAATGTTGTAGGGCAAGTATCAGTTTAAATCTACATAGATATTAAGTGTATTAAACATAGTGTGATTTCAATCAACAATACCCAAACATACAAAATGGAGAGAAAAAAAACAGGCAACAGAAAGGGACCAAAATAATTTGCGGATATTGGGACAATAGTATATTATATGCTGAATGCATTCTATGACAAGATCAAGAATTTTAGCAGAGAACAAGAAACTATAAAAAGAAATCAAACAAATGTCAAATATAAAGTAATTCAAACCAATAACTCAATGGATGAATGTAACGGTAAATTTGACAGTTAAATTTGCTCTTGCAAGTGATCCACTGGAAGTTTGGTCAGGCCATGAGGCAATTTGTAATAAATAAAAAGAATAAAATCATTTCTAGACAAATATGATGAACGTGATTTGATTTAATTAAGTGTAAATTATTGTCTCAAAAATTGTAAATTGATTGATCCTCAGGTGAAAGAAGCAACACTCCTTCCATTTTAGACCAAAATGTGTGAGAATTTCCTGACCAGAGAAAGAACACAGAGCACTGGGCAAGAAAAGGAGGCTGAGTGATGAGGTGGCAGCCTGGGACCCTCGAATCCACGTGAAGCCCTAAATTCCGCAGGCTTCAGTGCCTTGTGTGGAACCAGAGAGCAAAGCCATTTTCAAAAGCATTGCTCCGCCTGTAATCCCAGCAATTTGGGAGGCTGAGGCAGGAGAATAGCTTGAACCCCAGAGGCGGAGGTTGCAGACTGTCAAGACGATGCCATTGCAGTCTAGCCATTAGCATGGGCAACAAGAGGGAAACTCTGTTTCAAAAAAAAAAAAAAAAAGAAGCATTGCTCCTCGCCTTCAGACACAGCTTCCAATACAGTTTTGAAAAATAATTTAAATCATTCCATAAATACTGGAATGCAAATATTTCATAAAAATCTAGAATGTACTCCATTTAGAGAAGACAGAAGAGGCAGTCTTTCTGCTCTATAATCATCTGGAGGGCACTGTCCTGCTCTGAACTTGAGCTCTAGCCAGAGCTGATAATACGAAGACCTCTCTCTGTGCAGCCATCAGCCCTGACTCCCAGCACTGCAGGGGAGCTGAGAGAGGCCAGAGGCACAGACATGGTGGAAACTGCCCACAGATTCCGACTGAGGGAACAACGAAAGAGTGGAGTAAGAAATCACTGACTGAGCCGCTGTGGGCCTCAAGTCTGATAAACTTACGGTCACTCTATTGCTAACTAGAGAGCGTTGGACAGCAACATATTGTGTGGCCTCCACAACACTTGGAAACCAGACATGAGGAAATCCCAATTCATAGGTATTAACATCTAACTGAAAGCTACCCACCACTCGCTTATGTTTCCACAGTCTTGGATAGTGCCTGAAAACCATTTATGATTGTTTTAGGCATCATGAACAAGCAAGCAAACAAACAAGAAAGCGTGTTTGAGAATATGCAAAAAAGACTTACTTTATTCACTAGGAATGACACTGTCAAGTACCTACCGGGAAAAAACACCAGGTGTCTTGGCGGAGTTGACCACAAGAGGGGGCACGTGCGCAATAGCGATCCTAGAGAGGGCTCTGGGATCTCGGATTAACAATGGCCCAGAGTCCCGGCCGGTTCTGGGTATTATTATTATTATTATTATTATTATTATTATTATTATTATTACTATTATTACTTCATGATCCCAGTTCATAGCTTACCATTTTCACGCACTAATAATTTTACACCTCTTCGCGTTTCTTATTTTTCTAGCTGACTCTATTGTAGAAGGACAATTAAACTTAGGACTCAGAACAACCTAATCAATGGGTAATTGTTTAAACATCAGTTCCCTCTGTCACATACTGTGACATGCAGAGTGTGTGTAAGCCTGGAGAAATGATTCACAGGAAATGTCCATGAGGAAGAGCTGTGAGTGAGAGGGTCTGTCTAGCAAAGGAGAGGAGTGAGGACTAGGTTTTTTGGAGTGTGGCCTAGTAATTGAAGGGCATCAAAAGGACAAGGATCAAGATGTTCTTCATCCAGGTGTGAGGACATGCAAACCCTGCAGGTCCTCCCAGGCCAGTGGTCATGGTCTTGGAGACTTGTAGATCTAACTGTCATTTGCTCACATCCACAGTTACCACCTGGCTCCAAAGATAGCACTGGTATGGGCTAGCTTCCCGGATGCTCCAGAAGTGTAGATATAGTTTGCCAATGATTAAGAGGACAATGAAAATTGTATATTTGGTTAGATTTATATCTATGACTCCATTCAGGAAAGAAAAATGAGCAGAAGAAATAGCTCTCTGAACTAAATGAAAAATCACATCCTAGTGACATTTTTCCTTTCCCATATCGATCCTTTAATATCATGTTTGACACTTCAGAAGGTCAGCTGACCCCTGGGATATTTATCGTTAAGTCATGATTCTGCTCAACCTGAGCCCATGGTTGGACCATGCCCAGGCATCTGAATACAGCCGGCCTGGGAGCCGCAGTGAGGCATTCTCTCTCATAGGAAGCTTTGACTGAGGTTCAGAGATGAATGCCTAGCACTCAAGGTCTTTTGCATAGAAACATACATGGGCTATTTGACCGCTCCATCTAAGGTGTGAAAGTGAACCTGTTATCTGATTCTGCTCATCTAGGCTGAAAACAGACTTCCAGAAGATTCCCCTGCCCAGGATGGTCTTGTTGGGATGGATCCTCTTGCCCCTGGTGCTCTGCATTCATGGTACAGGATTCTTTGTACATATATGTAATTTTCAGGATGAGAACAGTGGTGGCCACTCTTATCCAGTGGGTGAGACAGTGAAGATCAATGGCCAAAGTTTTTATTTCAGCCTTTCATTCAGATGGCAGAGGCTTAAAAACCTGAAGAACACCTAGATATGATGTATCTTTTTTTTCATTCACAACCATTGTTTTTGACTTGCATTCAGACTGATCAATTGTTTTTCCACCCTTTCCCATCAGGCTACTGTGCTGACTCAGCCCCCATCCCTCCTGTCTGTGGCCGTGGGAGACAGGGTCTCCGTCTCCTGCAAGGCCAGTCGCAATCTCATCCATAGGAATGGAGACATCTACTTGAACGGGTTCCAACAGAAGCCACACCAATCTCCTCAACCACTGATCTATATGGTGACAAACAGGGCTCCTGGGTCCCAGCCCACGTCAGTGGCAGTGGGTCTGGGAGGAAGTTCACACTCACAATCACCAATGTGGAGCCAGGAGACGTTGCATATTACTTCTGTGAGCAGCGCACTCACTGGGACCCTATACAGTGGAACAGCCCTAAACATACACCTCCCTGTCAGGCCTCTGAGCCCAAGCTAAGCCATCACATCCCCTGTGACCTGCATGTATACATCCAGATGGCCTGAAACAACTGAAGATCCACAAAATAAGTGAAAATAGCCTTAACTGATGACATTCCACCATTGTGATTTTTTCCTGCCCCACCCTAACTGATACGATATAGTGTCCCCTGCCCTTAAAAAGGTACTTTGTAATATTCTCCCCGCCTTTGAGAATGTACTTTGTATGCCTATCCCAAACCTATATGAGCTAATAATAATCCCACCACCCTTTGCTGACTCCTTTTTCGGACCAGCCCGCCTGCACTCAGGTGAAATAAACAGCCTTGTTGCTCACACAGAGCCTGTTGGTGGACTCTCTTTACATGGACACACGTGACACACCCATGCAGGGTCAACCCTTCTGCTCAGCTGAGCATCTGCTTCCTCCAGGGAATCAGTGTCTGAGCAGCTGCTCCTCTTAGAGAAGAAGGAAATTGGGGTGAGGTAGAAATGGTGAGGAGCCCTTGAAGGAGGTGGGAAGATGTGGTGTGGCTCTAAGCCCAGGGGTCCCTCTCATTAAATGATCAGTGTCCAGACAGCATTGCTGAGGCAGCTCCCAGAGGGCTCCATCCTGAGTCCCTCTTCTCAGGCCCCCTGTATCACTGGCCCTGAAGAAATACTCTCCTGTTGTCCATGGCTCCAAGAACAGTTTGCCTTGCCCTGACTTTGCTGCTCAACTCACAGCCTCATGGCAGATTCCACTGGACCATACACAGTGTCAGATCCATAAGGAGGTACTGGTCTGTTCTAAATCAGCTGTTCTGATTCTCAACTTCCTGCCTAATGGCTCATCTCCATGAGATTCATGTGCTCCACCCTTTCTGGCTCAGCCATGCTCTTCCTGGCTTCCCCTAATCCCAGGTTTTCCCCTGGAAGTTTGACAGGCTTCTCCTCTAAGTATGTTGTCAATTTATTTTCTTACTTGCTTGATTCCTGGGGAAACAAGTCCTTTCAAGCCTAGGCCCTTCTGAGACCTCAGGGATGCAAGGCAAAAAGAGCAAAGCAGCTGCACGTGTATGAGACTGAATTGGTCACCTAAACTGTCATTTAACTTTTTTGCTAAGTCATTGCTTTTCTCTGGAAATAGTTTTTCAAGATGCAAGTATTTGATTTTTAAAACATGTGTGGCTTTACCAAATGCTTTTCTTCTAAGTCTTCTTCTCCACAAGTCCAAGTTAGGCTAATTATATCCAGTAAAGTCTGGTAGCCCTTCTCTAATAGCTCCTCTTTCCATACCCCTAGCAACACTCAGTCATAATCCCACTGATTCATCAGATGACAAATGCAAAAACTTGGAAAAATATATATTCTTCATAACAAATGCTATATATTTTAAACTGAGGCCCTAGACTTTCATCTTCTCCAATATTGTGTCTCAACTGTGTGAATTATATAATATGGCAGCAATTGTATTTCAATCTCTCCAGTTAGGAGCAGCTCAGTGCTTGCAGTATCTTTCCATTTGATTTCTATAACATTCCTAGTGGTAGAAAACTCAATTCATTTATCCAATTACATGGCTTAGTAACAGCTGTCTGTTGGTGTATACTTCTATGTTTTAATAATCCTATTCCCCTGTTCCATTATTCAAGCTAACAACATTCCATTGGTAAATGGCATCACTGAAAATTTACTGTTTAAGAATGAACATTATTTTTTCAATATTCTTAATTGGTTAGCAGACTTCAAAAATAACTAAATTCTGAAAAAAAAATAAGTAATGGCAGGCTCAGAGAAAAATAAATTATTTCTAATAATGTGAGGACATGACCAAATAGGAAGAGCAGTGAAAGCAGTTGCGTGTGCTCCCTTTGTCCAAAACATTTTACAGAAAGGATTTTATTGATCACAGTCCTTCATCATCACAGGTAATAAGACATGTTGACATTATGCAACTCAAGATGATGCACTGGCTGACAAGGACCATCTCTTTTGTGATATTCTTGTCAAAAACATATAATCTGAATTAATTAATAGAGAAAATTAGAAGGGCAATCTTAAAAATCATTGATAGTACATTTTACAAGCATCAAGGTCATGAAAGACAAAGAAAGAATAAACAATGATCACAGATTGGAGGAGATTAAGGAGACAAGAAAATTAAGTGCAATATGTCATCCTGGATTTGATACTGGAACTTGAAAGAATCTTTAGTGAAAAATTTAGTGGAATCCAAATATGGAGTAAATACTATTGTATCAATATTAATTTTTCATTTTATATCATCCCACTTTGGTTATTTAAGATGTTTAATATTAAGAGAAGGTAGAGGAGAAGTATATTGAAACAATCTACTACTTTTGAAACTTTGCATAAATCTAAATTTATTTCAAAACTAATTAAAATATACAAATGAAAATATAAGTAAGAAAAGAACATAAGCTCCTAAGGAGCAATTCCACAAGTATCATTCTATTTTTCCTCATTTTCTTATTTGTGATTTCTGTTTCTTGAAATGACAATCCTGGTTTCTATTATCTATAGCAGTGGTCCCCAACCTTTTTGGCACCAGGGACTGGTTTCATGGAAGACAATTTTTCCATGGGTCTCAAGAGTCGGGGATGGTTTCAGGACTATCCAAGCACATATTTATTGTGCACTTTATTTCAATTATTATTACATTGTAATATATAATGAAATAATTGCACAACTCATCATAATGTAGAATCAGTGGAAGCCCTGGGCTTGTTTTCCCGCAACTAGATGGTGCCATCTGGGGGTGATGGGAGACAGTGACAGATCATCAGGCATTAGTTTCTCATAAGGAGCACACAACCTAGATCCCTCACATGTACAGTTCAAAATAGGGTTTGCACTGCAGTGAAAATCTAATGCTGCTGCTGATCTGACAGATGGTGGAGCTCAGGTGGTAATGCAAGCAATGGGGAGAGGCTCTAAAGACAGAGGAAGCTTTGCTTGCTTACCTGCTGCTCACCTCGCAGTTGTAAAAGACCAAATGAGATGTTGAATTCAATAGAGTTATTTTAAAGATGTTTAAAAAATTTATTTCTTTCGATCAGCACTCTATGATCAAATACTTAAAATGGAAAATATGAAAAAAATGATTAAACACATTGTACCTAGCTGAGGGATTTTTCCTAACCACTGCACAAATGAAGACCACGACATTGTGTAACTGCCCAATGTGTTCACCTTGCCTGCTGCCTAGACAGAGCTGAGTTCTCAAGACAGGGGAATTGCAACAGAGAACGAGTAATTCAGGCAGGGCTGGCTATGCGAGAGACCAGAGTTTTATTATTACTCAAATCAGTCTTGCTGAGCATTTAGGGAGCAGAATTTTTAAGGACAACTTGGTGGGTGGTGGGTGAGCCAGTGAGCCAGGAGTGCTGATTGGTCAGAGATGAAATCATAGGGAGTCAAAGCTGCCTTCTTGCACTGAGTCAGTTCCTGGGTGGGAGACCATAAGATCAGATTAGCAGTTTATTGATCTGGGTGGTGCCAGCTGATCCATCAAGTGCAAGATCTGCAAAATATCTCAAGCACTGATCTTAGGAGCAGTTTAGGGGGGGTCAGAACCTTGTAGCCTCCAGCTGCATGACTCATAAACCATAATTTCTAATCTTGTGGCTAATGTTAGTCCTACAAAGCCTATCTAGTCCCCAGGCAAGAAGAACATCTGCTTTGGGAAAAGGCTGTTATTGTCTTTGTTTTAAACTCTAAACTAAATTCCTCTCAAAGTTAGTTCAGCCTATGCCCAGGAATGAACAAGGACAACTTGGAGGTTAGAAGCAAGATGGAGTCAGTTAATTTAGACCTCTTTCACTGTCTCAGTCATAATTTTGCAAAGTCAGTTTCATTTGCAATAAAGAGTTTTGGTAGACATGAGGCTGGCCACACCACATGGGAGACAGAGTTAGTACTCAAATCAATCTCCCTGAAGGCCTGTAGTTAGGGGTTTTTCAAAGGCAGTTTGGAGGAAGGGGTGGCCAGGTAATGGGTGCTTGCTGCTGATTGGTTGGGTCAGAAATGAAGTCATAAAATGTCAGAGCTGTTCTCTGGAGCTGAATCTCTCCTGAGTGGGGCCACAGGATGTGGGTTAGCAGGTCCAGGTGGAGCCATTGCTGTCAGATATGCAACAATACTTGAAAATATATCTTAAAAGGCCAATCTACAATAGTGGTGTTATCTGCAGGAGTATCTGGTGACCAGTCCACACCTTAGCAGAATCAGGCTCCTCTTTTCCCACTATTTGATGGCCTTTCATGATCTTTACAAAGGTAGCTGAGTTTTGGGTAACCCATATCATCATTTAAACTATAACCTAAATGGCTTCCAAAGTTAGCTCTGCCCAAAAGCCCAGGAATAATTAAGGAAAATGCAAGATGGGGAGGTGGGTTAGATCAGATCTCTTTTACTGCCATAATTTTCCTACTATTAAAATTTTTGCAAAGGTGGTTTCAAAATAGCGACTTTCAATATAACAGTGGAAGTTATGAAGACAAAAAAATATCAAAAGAGAATTTTAAAACTGAAAAGTAGAATAACTCAATTGAAAATTTAGATAGGTACCACAATAGTTGACAGTGTCAGAAGAATCAGTGAACTTGAAGATCAACCAATAGAAATAATCTGTTCCAAAGAATAAAGATGTAAGCAGCCAAGCAAGACCTCAGAGATGTATAGGTCAGTGTGAAGAACACCAACAAATGTGGATGGGAGTCACAAAGGAGAAGGGAGAGAGAAAGGAGCTGAAAAAGTATATGAAAAATAATGGGAACATCTTTTCAAATGTATTGAAATACATTACTATATAGATCCAAGAAATGTGATGAAACACATCCAGGGGAAGCAAAAAAGATTCATAACTACACATATTGTAATTAAAATGCTGAAATACAGTTACAAAGGGAAAATCTTCAAGAGAAAAAAAACCACTATGTACAAAGATACAATAATGTAGACACTGAATAAGGGTCCATTATTTCTAATGGAGACGAGAAGACGGTGGAATGGCATACTCAAATGCTGAAAGAAAAAAATCAACCCAAAATTCTATATACAGCAAAAGTATACTTTAACAATAAAGCAAACTAAACATATTTCTTTGTCGATAAAGAGTCAAACTCTCTAAAATATTTGAAGAGATTTATTCTGAGCCAAATGAGTGACCGTGGCCCCCAACACAACCCTCAGGAGGTCCTGAGAACATGTACCCAAGGTGGTTGGGGCGCAGCTTGGTTTTATACATTTTAGAGAGGCATGAGACGTCAATCAAACACATTTAAGAAATACATTGGTTTGATCCAGAAAGGCGGGACAACTCAAAGCAGGGGTG
The DNA here is from genome assembly GCF_000001405.40 of Homo sapiens. Taxonomy (NCBI): domain Eukaryota; kingdom Metazoa; phylum Chordata; class Mammalia; order Primates; family Hominidae; genus Homo; species Homo sapiens. Next base: position 307,062 of record NW_012132915.1, on the reverse strand, counting down.
AGGATCGGGAGTGGGGAAGCGGGGGAGGGTCCAGGCTCTAACTAGCATTTCCTTGTTGACAATTGGTTGAGTTTGTCTAAAGACCTGGGATCAATAGAAAATAAATGTTCAGGTTAAGATAAAAGACTGTGGAAGACCAAGGTTCTTTTGAAGTCATATAGTGGCTGCCTTTAGAGACGATAGATTACAAATATTTCCTATTCAGATCTTTAAAATGTGCTACACTCTTCTTTAAGATTGGGAGAGCCTGGAAGAAAAAGATCTAGCTATGTTAATAGAGATTCTTTACAGATGCAAATTTTTCCCCACAAAGGACAGCTTTGCAAGGCCATTTCAAGATAGGGCAAAGAAACATGTTTTGGGGTAAAATATTTTAATTTTCTGCCTTGTTGCATAATGTTACACCACAGTCAGGTTGGAAAGTAAGTCCAGGGATATGTAGGGTTAAATAAAACCCATCTGATGAGAATTTATAGTTTGTAGGGCATGACTCCCCAGACTCCTTAGATAGGAACTGAGACAAGGAAAAAAAAAATCAGAGCTTAGTCCTTACCTTGATAAACACAAATGAAAAGAAATTATTACTTGTAGACATTCAATAAATTATCTGAAATCAATTTAAGAAAACATTGTTCAGAATCACATGAAATTATAGAGGACAGTAATTTGAATCCACAAGCAGAAATAAAGGCCTCGAAATAGTAAAGAACTGGGAAAAAAATAGACACAATGATAAAAAAAAGTTTACTTCAATTTCTATGATATTCACTACCAAGTACAAACAAACTATCGTGGTAGATGTCAGAAAGACAGTTACTTTGGTTGGGATGGGGAGGCAGTTATTGAATGGGAAGGTGTACGAGAGAATCATCCAGAAATTTTGAAACATTCTATAGTTTCAGCTGGATAGTGAATATACATAAAACTTTATTCATTCCACATTTAGGATTTCTGCCCTTTATATGTGGTTTATTTCAATGAAAAAAAAATAGAAAAGCCAAGCCTAGATTCTTTTAAAGAAAATTGGAGGCAAGAAAAAAGAATCAGCCAATATTTATGGAAACTCAACTTTATTAAAGACAAGTGCAAAATGTGCCTGGAAAAGTGCTAAAGAACTGTTGAAAAACAGGTGGAAAGAAAAGGAAATATTATAATATGTCTCTTCTCCAACTGAAGCAACACAGATTTTATCTTGGTTAGTTTTCCTTGAAACACGCAGGATATTTTATGTCCCCTTGCCCACAAGAGAAGCCCTCATCCTCCTGTTGTTGCGCTTAGCATCACTGCACCCACCGGGGGATTTGCATATTGTCCTCTAGGGAGGACCTTCCCTTGTGGGTCTGAGATAAAAGCTCAGCTCTAACCCTTACCTTGACTGATCAGGACTCCTCAGTTCACCTTCTCACTATGAGGCTCCCTGCTCAGCTCTTGGGGCTGCTAATGCTCTGGGTCCCTGGTAAGGACAGAAGGAGATGAGGGAGGAGAATGGGGTGGGAAGGTAAGCCTGGGGGTCCCACTGCCTTCCATGTGTGTTCTGCCCTGCCCATGTGTTAGATGTACAGGTCTTGTTCTCCAGGATGGGGAATGTGAGGTTTAAATCTGTGAGAGTGAGGACAATTCAAAAAGAAGCAAGGACCTGTGTGATCTGGTGAAGATTGTCACACAGAGAAAGGGAGGTGGTGTAGGTGATTTCTAGAATCCCCTTTGCGGCTTGCAAATTTGGAATATGTTTAGTGTATAAATACAAACAACAAAAAATTATATAGCCTGAAATAAAAAATGAAAATTTATGATAAATGACACATGATATTTGTACATATCCTTCCACTTCTTTCTATTTATTTTAGGATCCAGTGCAGAGATTGTGATGACCCAGACTCCACTCTCCTTGTCTATCACCCCTGGAGAGCAGGCCTCCATGTCCTGCAGGTCTAGTCAGAGCCTCCTGCATAGTGATGGATACACCTATTTGTATTGGTTTCTGCAGAAAGCCAGGCCAGTCTCCACAGCTCCTGATCTATGAAGTTTCCAACCGGTTCTCTGGAGTGCCAGATAGGTTCAGTGGCAGCGGGTCAGGGACAGATTTCACACTGAAAATCAGCCGGGTGGAGGCTGAGGATGTTGGAGTTTATTACTGCATGCAAGATGCACAAGATCCTCCCACAGTGCTACAGCCCTGAGCACAAACCTCTCTGCTTGAAGTGGCCCAGCTGCTCACATGTGATGTTTGTCTGGGGAGCAGCACAGCAAGTTCTCTGAGTCTGTGCATGAGGAAAATGTTGGACAACTCAGAGGAGTAGATTGGTCTCATGAATTCCTTGGTTACATCTCAGGAACTACTCATTTGTGCAGCTGCAAAAGCCTTGACATGGCAAAAGCAGTAGGAGAATGGGGAAGGTCCCATGGAGCTGATGCTGATTCATGATGCAACTGAATAAAAGCTCATTCGAATCCTCCTTTCTTACATTTCTCAATTGTAGTTAATCAGCATAAGTGCCAGGCAATTGATACAAATGTTGGCAACACATGCTGAGTGCCTCCTCATTTGTATGTATTTCATCCATTTTTGTATATTTTAATAGGATAATTATTTGGTCATATTTAGAAATTGGTATTTTCCACCTTCCAAGCTTTCTACTTTCCTTACTTATTGCTTCTCTTCCTATGTAATAAAGATACTGTAGACAACATTTTACACTAGTTGTAAAATGTGGCTCCCCATTTATACGGGTAGCTGGTTGGGGGCAATTAGCAAAAATCTTGGTTTTTGAGTGCCTAAATAGACTTTTGTAAATTAATGTCAGATACAAGATCCAAATGCTAAAACTCTTTGATTTGCCTTGATTACTTCTTACTGATAGATCATAAAAGGAATTCTTGAAATTCCAAAAGTTGGGTTTTAAAAATAAAAGCATACACTGGAATATACAGGGCATAGAATTCACCCTATATATTGCTAGAAGAATAGAGAATGATAACAGTTTTAGACTTCGAGGGTACTTCAGGAATGGGAACACACAAGGAACACAGTAGATATGAGCTACTGTGTCTACCGTATTAGACAATCCTCCTGCATTTTAACTTACATTTGGTGAACTTCAGATGCCAGTGGGTGTTGCAAGTTGATGACATAAACCTAAAATCAAGTCCCGAGGTATTTCTTGTGAAGAGTCACAGAGTTGAAGAGACCACTGCCTGGCTTCCTGAGTTGAGCCTGTGCCACTGCAAGTTTCATGGGAAAATGGCGAGAAAAGCTGTTTAGGTTTGTAATCATCAAAGGTTTAGTGAAGTTCCCGTGCAAAGAGACTCAATCCCATTCAACTCAGCATGAAGAGATCTTCTAGAACTCATTCTGCCCCTATAGCAGAGATGATGTGGTCAGGTTTGTGGAGATGAACATGCAATGACGTGTTAACCAAAAGGCCCAGCAGAAAGGGATAGTGATCAATGTCCATGGTTCAGACATATACAAAGGATGATTTGCACAGCACTGGAGGAAAAAACATCCTGAGTGTTGGAGATTTCTGCCTTCCTACCCAAGCTCCCGCAGCCTGTCTCCTGACTCAGAACTCAGCAAATGCCACATGAAAAATCTGGCTATGGTTGCACAGAAATTGCCCTGTGCAACCTTCAAAGCTCAGTTATGTTCTCTCTTCTTGCTGGGTTTCTCTGTCTGTGCCAAATCAAAATTTCTATCCGAACGCACATTTGGTAAAAAAAAAAAAAAAAAGGGCAGAAAAACAAAATGTCAGATGAACACCAACTCAACTAGAATTAGTTGTTTTTTTACTCTAGAATTTTAGATCACCTAGTCCTCATTTCTTCCATTACTTTCTAATGTCACTAATAGGTAACTTTGCATTTTATTTGTTTTTATTGGCACATTGTAATTGTACATATTTATGGAGTACACTTTGATGTCTTGATATGTACATATGTTGAAAAATGATCAAATCAGGATATTTAGGATGTGCATCAGCTCATGTATTTACCATTTCTTTATGTTACTCTGGGTCCCAGGTGAGGGGAATATGCGGGGGGGCGTGGGGGGTTCTGTGTGTCAGTGAAAACTCTCTCAACTTTGTTGGGTCCTTCAACCTGGCATTTCCGCTCAGCAAGCACAATAATTAAAGCTCAATGTAAATCAATGGTCTTGACTCTATTGGAAAGACAATGGGTATAATCTAGATTACATGTGTGATTATTTGTTTTTCTGTTTAAACTGTTTTTTCAAAAAATAAATTTTATTCTGTATATTTTAGGTTTGCAATATGATGTTGTGGCATACATATAGATAGTAAAATGCTTACTATAGTGAAGAGAATGAACATTTATCATCTCACATAGTTACTTTTTCGTCTGTGACAAGAGCAGCTGGAATCTACTTATTTAACAAAAATCTCTAATACAGTACAGTTTTATTAACTATAGCCCTCATTTTCTACAGTAGATCTCTATACTTGCTATTCGTAAATATTTACTACCTTGCATCTTTGGACCTACATCTTCCCATTTCTTCCCATTCCACCCCCGGCCCTTAATAACGACTGTTTCATTCTCTATTTCTGCATAATTTATCTTTTTAGTTATTTAATTTATTTTTAGGTTTACATGTAAGTAAAATCAGGCAATATTTTTATTTCTGTATCTTGCTTTTTTCACTTGGAATACTGTCCTCTAGGTCCATCCACATTACGGCAAATAGAAGAATCTTCTTTTTCTGCTGGGTGTGGTGGCTCATGCCTGTAATCCCAGCACTAGGCGGGTGCATCACCTGACATCAGGAGTTGAATACCAGCCTGGCCAACATGGCAAAACCCTGTCTCTACTAAAAATACAAAAAATACAAAAGAAAATTAGCTGGGCGTGTTGGCATGGGCCTGTAATCCCAACTACTCAGGAAGCTGAGGCAGGAGAATCGCTTGAACCCGGGAGGAGGAGGTTGCAGTGAGCTGAGATAGCATCATTGCACTCCAGCCTGGGCAACAAGAGTGAGACTTCTCTAAAATAAAAATAATAATAATAATAAAAAAGAATCTTCTTGTTTAAGGCTGAATTATATTCCATGGTGTGTGTGTGTGTGTGTGTGTGTGTGTGTGTGTGTGTACATTTATGTATACCACATTTTCTTTATTCATTTATTTGTCCACGGATGCTCAGGTTTTTCTCATTTCTTGTGAATAATGCTGCAATAAACACGGGAGTGTAGGTATCTTTAAAAGAAGGTGGTGATTTCATCTCTTCTGGGTATGTATCCAAAATAGGGTCACTGTTGGGTTATAAGGTGGTTAGGTTTTGAATTTCTTTAGGAACCTCCATACTGTTTTCCATAATGGGTGCACCAATCATCATTCCCACCAACAATGTACAAGTGTTTTATTTTCTTCACACCCTCATCAATATTTATCTCTTGTCTTTTTTATAATAGCCATCCTAAAGACTGTAAGGCGTTTTATTTCTAATCTCAGATTTCACTGTAGAAACAGTGATGACACAGTCTCCAGCTTCCCTGTCTTTGTCTCTGGAGAAAAAAGCCACCCTGACTTGCAGGGCCAGTCAGTGTTAGCAGCTACTAAGCCTGGTACCAGAAGAAACCTGAGCGGGTTCCCAGGCTCCTCATCTATGGTACAGCCCTGATTTGTGATAGTGGGTCGGGGACAGGGCTTACTCTCACCATCGGCAGCCTGGAGCCTGGAGCCTGGAGATTTGCACTTCATCACTGTTATCAGCATAGTAGTTGGTGTCCCATACTGATTCGACATGCAACAAAAACCTCCAGGAGACCTAAGGTGTTTATTTGATTATACTACCTGCTTCCTTTTTAGTCATCTGATGTGGTGCTGCTCAGTTTTAGCATCTCTGCTTTGATTGGAAATTCTGAGGTTCTCAAAAGTAATTCCTTATAATATTTATAGTTTCACTCATGGATTTTTTTCTCAGACCCAAATGTACAGCCAGGTTCAGGCACAATTTCATGGTCAAGGCCATTGGATCAGACTCACATGAGTGGACGCCTCTAAAGGTCCTGGCCAGTGCGATAAAGTAGCAGCGACAATGATAAAGAAGAAGAATTAGAAAGGCAGAATTAAAGGTATAACAATTCACTGATGAAAGGACTGTGTGGGGGAGAAATTTCTAATTGTCTACACAGAAATTATTAGAATTAATGAGATACATAGCAAATTGTTAGATTAAAGATCAATATAAAATATATTTATTTTTATATAAATGTAACAACTGCTAAAATTAAAATTATGAAACACATCATTTATAGTAGCACCAAACCAAGAGGCATTAGAAAAAACTAACAAAATATACTGACAGCTCCAGAATATAATTCAAAGAAATCAAAGAAAATCTAAGCAAATGGAAGGCCACAGTACTTTCAAAGGTTGAAAGTCCCAGTATTGTAAAGATGTTCATTCTTCACAGATTGATATATTAAAGATAATCGAAATCAAAATTTCAAACCGTTTTTAAATGGAAATGTAAAAGCTGATTCTACATATCATATTACATTGTTAAGGAGTTTGAATAACCACAATAAACCCGAAGAAGCCCAAGAATGAGGACTTACACTACTTGGATACTCGAACCATGCTGCTGATGTGAGTTCAAACAAATTGCCTAATGCAACAGAAGAGAGTATTCTGAGAATGACTAACACATATAGTGACACTTTTTAGGGACAAAGGTGACACTGCACAACAGAGTGAACACAATAAAAAGCTGTCCAACATCAATAATCATCCCAGTCCTACAAATGAAAATCACAACTGTCTGCCACTAAAACTTCAATAGGATGACTCAAAGGGACAATGCCAAATACAGTGACGGAAAGGGGGAACTAGAAGGGCCACACATTGTGTTTGGGAATATAAAGTGGTACCACAAGTTGGAGAACTGACACTGAATATATAATCCCTTTTTAATCCAGCCCTTCCACTCAGAAATGTGTACAGATGTGCACAGAAAGAAATGTGCAATAACACTCGGCCGGGCGCAGTGGCTCAAGCCTGTAATCCCAGCACTTTGGGAGGCTGAAGCAGGCAGATCACAAGGTCAGGAGTTCGAGCCCAGCCTGGCCAATATGGTGAAACCCTGTCTCTACTAAAAATACAAAAATTAGCTGGGCGTGGTGGCGGACGCCTATATTCCCAGCTACTAGGGAGGCTGAGGCAGAAGAATCGCTTGAACCCGGGAGGTGAAGGTTGCAGTGAGCCGAGATCATGCCACTGCACTCCAGCCTGGGTGACAGGGTGAGACTACATCTCAAAAATAAATAAATAAATAAATAAATAAATAAATAAATAAATAAATAACACTCATAGCATTATTAGTGATAGCCCCAAACTGGGAACATTCTAAATACAAATCTAGAGTAATTTGAATAAATAAAATGAGGTAGGTGCATACAATTAAATACTATGGATGAATGAAAATATAAAAGCTGCTACTACATCCATGAATGTGGGTGTATCTTACTAGCATAATAATGCGCAAAAGACGTTAGAAATAAAAAGCTCACTATCCATGATTCCTTTTTATATAGTTCAAAAACCGCCATCACTAAATCAATGTTACTGAAAGTGAGATTTAAATTTGCATTGGAGAAGAGTGGGGCTAATGTTTGGGAGGAGACAGAAGGTGCTTCTAGGAGACCGGGAGTGTTCTGCTTTGGTACGGTTGTTATACAGTGTGTTCAATCTCTGAAAAATTTATTAAAACCTGCATTATAATTTGTGAGTGCATATACACATGTTGAGATTTGTGAATATACATGTATGGGTAAGTTTTATCTTATCAAAAGTTTATTTTAAAAAAGTTATGAAGCATAATGTTATTTGCACCAATCAATGCATCCTAACTTCTTTCCTTGTCTAATCAAATTGTATTTAATTATAATCTGTATTCATTTTCACATTCCATCTATGGAACCAGGGCACCAAATGTAAGGAAGCCCAGGGTTTACAAGGTTACCACACTGTTAGTGTCATCAGGAACACATGAGTCACTATAACCTCTTTTATTTTTTTGTCCTGGAAAGCATCAAAATTCTAAGCTACTCAAAATGTATTGCATTTTAATGATGGTTCCTATTTACCCTAAATGTACGAATCCAATTAAGTCAGTATTTGTAGAATCAGAACAATTTGCTTCAATGTGTTTTTCACTTTTATTTATTCACTGAAGACACTGGTAATTTTACACTATAAAAAGTGAAATAAAAACATACACAAAATTATACTTGCTCTATCCTTCAGTAAAGATGAGATGACTAAAACCCAGATAGATTTGTTGATAGGAATTATTCAAGATGATCCAGCTAGTTGAAGAGCATCACTTAGAATTCTGGTGACCCCTTTTTAGGACAAAGTTGTTGCTAAATAATTCTAAAGATGTGCCAGTAACTTGCTAAGAACATTGAAGTACAAGTTTTTGTGTAGATATATGTTTTCCTTTTTCTTGGGTCCACACTTAAGAGCTTCCTGGATCATATGGTAACTCTATGTTTAACCACTTGAATTGCAGACTGTTTTCCAAACCTGCTGCACCATTTTTCATTTCCACCAGCAGTGCAAAGATTCTATTTTATTGCCAACCTATGCAATGAGAAGAAAAAACCTCTGAGTGAGGAGGCGTTTAGAAGAACTAGAATATATCCAGATGTAAGAAAATAAATCCAAGGTAGCTTAGAGATGCCCATTAAATAGTTTTTAAATTTTTCCTAGTCTTCCCAAACCTGGTTACATGTTTTTACTACTTGGTGGATGGTACTCACTCGCAATGGTGTTTAGAGTTGGGAATGGACTCAGGAAGTGGAAAAGTTCCTTCAGACAAGGAAGAACTGGTTCAAGACACAAACTAAGGAGAGCTAATCAGAATGAAAGACGGGGAGCTGAGGAAAGTGAAATGAAAATTTCCTGTAGGAAGGAGGTAACATTTAAGCAGAATGCCTTGTTCTTTAGGTAGTGTGTCTGTCCTTAGGATCTTGTGCTCTGGACTAGTGCCTGACATAAAAGGACTGAGCACTGACATCTCTCTCTCTCACTAATTAACTTTTTGTGTCAGTTGTTGTAATTCCTTATATAGAGTAGAATGATCTCGAAAGGTTAGATGTTTTATTTAAAAAAAATTAATAAATGACCACCGTGAGTGAATCCTAAACAAGATAGAATGGGAATAAACTGAAAGAACAAAATATAAGCATATATGTCATATTTACTTTTTGTTATGCCTATATAAATCTATAATTTTAAATTTTGAAGTCAAGGAAAATACTGGTTATTAAATTTTATCATCTATTAAACCAGTATGATGGTAAAACTTGTTATTGCCCTTCAATTATGATTCCTAATTTTGCATGAGTAATATTGTCATTGTTATAGTCAGATTATTACAGTTAAATTGCATTGCATTATATGCCTTATATTTGAGGAATTTTTCCTATGGAATGACTTTGCATTTATCAACACATTTTTAACTTAGTTAGATTAACTTATAGGTTTTGTTGATTTTTATCCTCACCAACATTCTTTTACAATCACAAACCACAGCTTCCTCTTCTTGAGCAACCGACTTTACTTCATCTCTTTATCAGCTGTAATACATTTTTCAAGGGTTTCTAGTTTCATAAATCCTTATGCATATCATAATTTACTTGTTTCAAATTAAAAATTTTCTTCATATTTTATTTCCCTAGTTCAATAGAAAATGCATGCAGTATAATTTCTTTTATAAAAACTTTGCACATTTTCAAATATAATTACATTGATTACTGGGAGTTCATTTTGCAGGCCAGGACTCTGAAGAAAGCCTGACATTTATCTTTGAAAAAAATAACCCTTACATTCTTTGAATTTGTATTTTATTATGAAATATTTGTGTTTTCTCATTTTATAAATGTTTGAATACAATTGTGTGACTCCACTGAATTTACACTCATTAGTAGTTAACAGACATGGAAATTTTATTTCAGATTACATTTCTTCTTACTGATTCTTTTCTAAGGACTCATTTCTTCCTTAGGAAAATGTTTAATTCTCAGGTTTAACTTTCTACTCTGTTTTTCTGTCTAAGCTCTCTCTTTATTATCTAATGTCATGATTCTCTCCTTTGAAAAACAAAAGTGCTACTCTAGTTTGCCTTCCATATCACTGTTTTGATCAATTGCAGTGCCAATTCTGCTATATTGTCTTGAATATTGGGTTTTGTTTTTAATGATGCAGTTTGTTTTATTTTTCTTATATTGCAACAGAGTTTAAGGAACTATGCTTACATTTTCGATAATTACATATTTTGTGCTATTTTTCATCCTAGGTTATATGTTTTTCTTTATTTTATTGATTATGCAAAACATAATGTAGAAATGTTCTGGAGTCCGCAAGAGTTTTTTTTTTTACTTAACTTTTCTCGTTAATTTATTTTTTTTACAACATCTTCTTGTCCTCCTTTCAATTCCTCCTTCTTCCCTTTCATTTTTCTTTTTCTATTATCTTTTTTAATGGGCCTCAACTTTATTAACTGATTGCAAGGAATAATAATCAATGATGGTTAATAACACAATTATAATGTTGGTCCATAATGCACTTTTATTATTAATCCATTATGGTTCTTATTTATTTATTCATATTTTTAGCACTCACTAATGCATTCATTAATATTAGTAATATAATAAATTCATGTTACTATCCTGCAAAACAACCACTTAAGATATCAACTGGTATCCATTTTGAGGTTCTCCACAATCTCTTAAACATATTATTTCCCACCACCAAGTTAATCAAAATTTTCAATTCAATATTCTTTATCAATGTAGTTTATTTCTTCTATATGTATTCCTTTAAAAAGTTGTTTATTTCTTTTAGACATTATAAAAAGGATGTCATACTAGTGAAGTCTAAGTTATTAATTTCTTTATGCTAGATATTTTGTTTATTTTCTCTAAGAATTATTTTTTTATCTCTAGGGTCATGAAATATATTTCTATACCCTTTTGTAGAGGATTTACTCTTGGGCCTTTCATATTTATATTTAAAATTTATTGATGATTAACATTTGTATATGGTATAGAATTAAGATTCATTTTCATATAATACAGATACTGAATTGATCCAGTATGATTAATTTATTTTACTTCTACTACTTTGAAGTAGCACTTTTATTGTAAATCAAATGACTACGGATGGGTGGATCAGTTTCTGGATTCTCAAACTGATTGAACTGGCTAATTTGTTTGACACTTCACTGATACCATATATTTTAATTACTGTAACTTACAGGCTTTGGTATTGTGTACTATTAGTCCTCCAACATTTTTTATCTTAGCAAGACTGTCTTGATTACTTTTTGCATTTTGAATGTTCATATATATTTAAGTAATGTCTTTTCAATTGCAACAACAATTCCCTGAGATTTTTTATTGTGAACGTTTTCAACAAATTTAGGGAGAATATACACTATTAAGTCTCCCAATTCATGAGCATGGTGCAACCTTCCATTTATTGGAGTTTTCTTTATTTTTATCCAACTGCATTTTGTACATTTCTGTTTGGTTTTGTTGAACATTTTTTTTATGTTTTATTTTTATTATTTTTATTTTTTTATTTTTTATTATACTTTAAGTTTTAGGGTACATGTGCACATTGTGCAGGTTAGTTACATATGTATACATGTGCCATGCTGGTGCGCAGCACCCACTAACTCGTCATCTAGCATTAGGTATATCTCCCAATGCTATCCCTCCCCCCTCCCCCCACCCCACCACAGTCCCCAGAGTGTGATATTCCCCTTCCTGTGTCCATCTGATCTCATTGTTCAATTCCCACCTATGAGTGAGAATATGTGGTGTTTGGTTTTTTGTTCTTGCAATAGTTTACTGAGAATGATGATTTCAAATTTCATCCATGTCCCTACAAAGGACATGAACTCATCATTTTTTATGGCTGCATAGTATTCCATGGTGTATATGTGCCATATTTTCCTAATCCATTCTATCATTGTTGGACATTTGGGTTGGTTCCAAGTCTTTGCTATTGTGAATAATGCTGCAATAAACATACGTGTGCATGTGTCTTTATAGCAGCATGATTTATAGTCATTTGGGTATATACCCAGTAATGGGATGGCTGGGTCAAATGCTATTTCTAATTCTAGATCCCTGAGGAATCGCCCCACTGACTTCCTCAATGGTTGAACTAGTTTACAGTTCCACGAACAGTGTAAAAGTGTTCCTATTTCTCCACATCCTCTCCAGCACCTGTTGTTTCCTGACTTTTTAATGATTGCCATTCTAACTGGTGTGAGATGGTATCTCATAGTGGTTTTGATTTGTTGAACATATTTTATGTGACTTTTTATTTGGGCATATTGTTAAACTTAAAGAAAAATTGCCAAAGTAATATAAGAACTCCAATGTATACGTTACCCAAATTCATTTAGTAACCATAGATGACTTTCTACTTCCAAATTCTTTCTATATTTATGAGTTGGCAGCTAGTTACTACTGATTCAGAACAAATCACCCAAAACTTAATGACACATTACAATTGACATCATTATACTATTATCTTTGTAGTTGTTAGGTGTCTCCTGGGCTGACCAAGATTTCTGCTCGGGATTTCTTACATGGATGTAGTCAGATAGCAGCTGGGGATGGAGTCATATAAAAGGTGGCCAATTCAGGCTATAGGATGAGTCCTCAGCTGAGGCTGTGAATCTCTACATGCTCCTGCTTGGCTTCTTGTACACTTCCTCGAAGAGTACCAGACAGATGTTTTATAACCTCTTATGACTTACTATAGCCTCAGAAGACACATAGTGTTACTTCTATGACAATTATAGGTTCACTAAGATTCCAAAGGGGGAAAAGTATGCTAATATGTCCAATAGGGAAATTATCAACATCACACTATTAGAGGAACTAATAAGATGGAAGATCTTGTGACCATCTTGGAGTATCCAGCTGGCAACTCTCTACGCTTGTTTAAATCAATCTACATTTTTACTGTATGCAACATATACTAATTTTCATCTGCAACATCTACAAGCATTTCCCATGATGGTGGTAAGTTAAAGTTCAAGATCTCCTCATCTAGATCAGACTCTGTGCAGTTGAGCCTCTTTGCCCATAGTTCCTAAATATCACCTGTCCCCCTATCCCACTCAAGACTTGTGAACAATGATGAGACAGGACTAGGATGCACATACTTGACAGACAATGCTGTAGATACTCCCTTTCAGGAAGAAGGCACTCAGCAGTCAAAATTCCACAGAGCATAAAGCCACAGCTTCCTTTCAGGGCTTCCTGCTTCAAACGTCTGTGTTTTTTAAATGTTTTTTTCCCTCAAACTGTACTTTTCTTTTTTTTTTTTTTTTTTGCCTTGGAAACAATGTAATTATTATTTAAAACTCAGTGAAATCATGAGGATACAGTCAGGCAAACCCTAAATGTGGGAAATCCTATAGGATAAATTATTTCTTTCTTTTTTGTTTTTTAAGTGTATAATTCTTTTTTTTATTATACTTTAAGTTTTGGGGTACATGTACACAACGTGCAGGTTTGTTACATATGTATACATGTGCCATGTTGGTGTGCTGCACTCATTAACTTGCCGTTTAGCATTAGGTATATCTCCTAATGCTATCCCTCCCCCCTGCCCCCACCCCACAACAGGCCCCGGTGTGTGATGTTCCCCTTCTTGTGTCCATGTGTTCTCATTGTTCAATTCCCACATATGAGTGAGAACATGCAGTGTTTGGTTTTTTGTCCTTGTGATAGTTTGCTGAGAATGATAGTTTCCAGCTTCATCCATGTCCCTACAAAGGACATGAACTCATCCTTTTTTATGGATGCATAGTATTCCATGGTGTATATGTGCCACATTTTCTTAATCCAGTCTATCATTGTTGGACATTTGGATTGGTTCCAAGTCTTTGCTATTGTGAATAGTGCCACAATAAATATACGTGTGCATGTGTCTTTATAGCAGCATGATTTATAGTCATTTGGGTATATACCCAGTAATGGGATGGCTGGGTCAAATGGTATTTCTAGTTCTAGATCCCTGAGGAATCACCACACTGACTTCCACAATTGTTGAATTAGTTTACAGTCCCACCAACAGTGTAAAAGTGTTCCTATTTCTCCACATCCTCTCCAGCACCTGTTGTCTCCTGATTTTTTAATGATTGTCATTCTAACTGGTGTGAGATGCTACCTCATTGTGGTTTTGATTTGCATTTCTCTGATGGCCAGTGATGATGAGCATTTTTTCATGTGTCTGTTGGCTGCATAAATGTCTTCTTTTGAGGAGTGTCTGTGCATATCCTTTGCCCACTTTTTGATGGGGTTGTTTGTTTTTTTCTTTTAAATTTGTTTGAGTTCATTGTAGATTCTGGATATTAGCCCTTTGTCAGATGAGTAGGTTGCAAAAATTTTCTCCCATTCTGTATGTTGCCTGTTCACTCTGATGGTAGTTTCTTTTGCTGTGCAGAAGCTCCTTAGTTTAATTAGATCCCATTTGTCAATTTTGGCTTTTGTTGTCATTGCTTTTGTTGTTTTAGACATGAAGTCCTTGCCCATGCCTATGTCCTGAATGGTATTGCCTAGGTTTTCTTCTAGGGTTTTCATGGTTTTAGGTCTAACATTTAAGTCTTTAATCCATCTTGAATTAATTTTTGTATAAGGTGTAAGAAAGGGATCCAGTTTCAGCTTTCTACATATGGCTAGCCAGTTTTCCCAGCACCATTTATTAAATAGGGAATCCTTTCCCCATTTGTTTTTGTCAGGTTTGTCAAAGATCTGATGGTTGTAGATATCTGGCATTATTTCTGAGGCCTCTGTTCTGTTCCATTGGTTTATATCTCTGTTTTGGTACCAGTACCATGCTGTTTTGGTTACTGTAGCCTTGTAGTATAGTTTGAAGTCAGGTAGTGTGATGCCTCCAGCTTTGTTCTTTTGGCTTAGGATTGACTTGGCAATGCGGGCTCTTTTTTGGTTCCACATGAACTTTAAAGTAGTTTTTTCTAATTCTGTGAAGAAAGTCATTGGTAGCTTGATGGGGATGACATTGAATCTATAAATTACCTTGGGCAGTATGGCCATTTTCACGATATTGATTCTTCCTACCCATGAGCATGGAATGTTCTTCCATTTGTTTCTATCCTCTTTTATTTCATTGAGCAGTGGTTTGTAGTTCTCCTTGAAGAGGTCCTTCACGTCCCTTGTAAGCTGGATTCCTAGGTATTTTATTCTCTTTGTAGCAATTGTGAATGGGAGTTCACTCAAACTGTACTTTTCATCCCTTCAAGCAACTTCATCCAATCAAACAACAAATAATGAGTTTTTAGCAGTGTCTTCTATGTTGATCAAAACTCTCATTATCCTTTGAGGCAGTTTAATGTAAACTTTCTTCATTAATTCTTTGCCGTTTTCACTTTATTGTGAATTTTTTTCTTGAATTTACACTGTAAGGCATGGATTTTTTATTTTCAGTTATAGTCAGTATGGCTTTTGTATAAAATTCTCCACATTCTTCTTTTACTTTGTTTCCCTCAACTCTAAATCCCCAAATTCTGTTAGTATGGTAACTGACCTTATAATCTTGATCCATTTTGTATGGAACATTCCCAGGTTAGGTTCATACCAAGAAAATGACTCTGTATTCAAGCCACTTGAATTAATAGCTGTATCAGTGATTATTATTTATGATGACCATGGTCTTATAAGGTTCATATAACATGCTTGTGGTCACTCGCATTAGTCATCACCAGAACAAGACCAGCTGCAGCTGAGGACTGAGGAAATGTTGTGGTGATCTGGAGTATTATTAAGTGAGGGGTTCCACATAGTCCCTCTACAGACTGAAGACACTGGGGAAGGATCATCCGTGTGTGTGTGACAGCTGTGAAATAATCTGTTCTGGAACAAGAAGCTCCAAAATATCTCAGCCTGGGATGACTTTGCGTGCTTTCCATAGAGCATTTGGCTACATATCAAAGCCGTTATCAGTGGGCTGTTCCCTGGCTCAGGGCAGGTGTCTGCCTCAGCCATGTACATAATGGACATAAGGAGCTCAACTCTTCTGTCTCCTGCTGCCTGATCCCAGATAAGGAAAAGGATTATGAGGAGGTGCCACATGATGGTGAAATTTGCTTTCTTCTCATTGTAAGTTGAATCTTTAGTACCTTTTTTGGTCTGTGACATTTGATTTCTCATGGAGCACTCACAGTGTTGAGTAACATGATAAGCTCATAGAGTGGGATGTGTTTAACCTCACTGACATTTGTGCTTATGTGATTTTTTCAAAAAAATTCAAATGTCAATGAGAATATTGTGCCACCTCAGTTTTATTTATTTTTATTTTTTTAACTTTTGTTTTAGGTTCAGGGATATATGTGAAGTTTTGTTACATAACTGAACTTGTGCCATGGGGGTTCCTTGTACAGATTACTTTGTCACCCAGGTATTATTCCCAGTGCCCAATAGTTATCTTTTCTGCTCCTTTCCTTTCTTCCACCCTCCACCCTCAGGTAGACCCCAGTGTGTATTGTTCCCTTACTTGTGTTCATGAGTTCTCAATTTTCAAGTTCTGGACTAAGGTTGAGGGAAGCAAGCCACTATCCAGAACCCTAGTGTCCCTGCATGGTTGAGTGACCACGAGTCTGAGGTAGATTTTGTTCCCACAATCAGCAGCCTGAAGCCTGAAGATGCAGGGTACTGTTACTGTCAACAACATCAAATCTTGCCTCTCTCGTGTGACAAAACTGAGCAAAGGCAGTGCAATGATCCAGCAGTGTTATCTTGTTCAAGTTACTCATACATAATTGATGAAATCATGTAGAAAGCTCAGTGAAAGAGATTTTGAAATATTAGTTTCTGTGATAACAGAACACACAGATTGTAATCACATATCATTGGTTGGAATTTTGTCTCTTACACTTAATATATGTGTAAATTTGGCAAATGACTTAAACACTTTTACCTTGTTTTTTTATCTCTAATAAAGGAAAATAAAGAAGTAACTATACCATAAAACTATTATAATAATTAAGTAATTGAATACTTATAAAATGTTTATAACTTTCAAATGTATTAAACACTAAATAATTACTAATAATCATTATAATTTTGCTACATCTCTTAATTATGTAGATCCAGTGTTTCCCCAAATACTGTTTTCTTTGATGTTATTTACAAAATTATGATTTTTTTCCCCTAAAACTCCCACTATGTTAAATAGCAGATAAATTTATTTCATGCCAAGCTGCTAAAAACAGATATAAAAAGCTGGACAAAATATAAAAAGCTGATACTCTAAGGTACCATGTACCTTCGAATAAGTGCTATGTAATAAGCATCTGACTCCATTTTTGATGTTTGATCAGTGACAGCTTTCAATCACCACCTCCCACTTTCCCTTCCACCACATATTTGTGCAACTGCCTGCAGGACAGTCAAACCTCATAGATCCTCAGCAATGCAAGATAGCATATCTCCAGTCCAACTATAAAAACTCAGCCCTCTGTGTAACTCGAGCCAGCTTATACCAGCTTGTGCATATCCTGCTTTCCCCAAGATTCCCTTGTGTGAGTTAGAAAATTTCTCCCAAATTCTCTTGTACATGGAGTGTCAACAGCTTCACCATAATATCTACTAATTAGAAAAGATCCATCTCACCTCCGTAGGTGACCACAAAATATGCCAAGAGAGCAAGTATTTGATGAATCAAGAAAATAAGGTAAGCTTTTATGAACTGAATATTTGTGTCCCCTCAAAATTCACCAGTTGAAGCCCTAACTCCATGTGCGCGTATATTTGGAGGTATCGCTAAGAAACTAACAGTCAAATGAGGCCATAAGGTTGAGATTCTGATCTGATTCAATTAGTGTCCTCATTAAAAAAAAAAAAAAAAAGGAGAGATTGGGCTCAGTGGCTCATGTCTGCAATCTCAGTACTTTGGGAGGCAGAGGCGGGTGGATCATGAGGTCAAGAGATTGAGACCATCCTGGCCAACATGGTGAAACCCCGTCTCTACTAAAAATAGAAAAATTAGCTGGATATGGTGGCACATGCCTGTAGTTCCAGCTACTCAGGAGGCTGAGGCAGGAGAATCACTTGAACCCAGGAGGCAGAGGTTGCAGTGAGCCAAGATTGCACCACTGCACTCCAGCCTGGTGACAGAGCGAAACTCCATCTCAAAAAAAGAAAAAAAAAAAAAAGAGACCAAATCTATTAGGCCATTCTTGCAATGCTACAAAGAAATACTGAGACTGGGTGATTTATAAAGAAAAGAGTTTTACTCAGCTCACATTTCTGCAGGCTTTGGAGGAAGCATGATGCTGGCATCTGCTCAGCTTCTGGGAAGGCCTCAGGAAGCTTACAGTTATGATGGAAGGCTAAGGGGTAGTAGGCCCATCACAAGGCCAGAGAAAGAGCAGAAGAGAGAGAAGGAGTTGCCATATGCTTTTAAATAAGCAGATCTCATGAGAACTCGCTATCATGAGAACAGCACCAAGAAGATGGTGCTAAACTGTTCATGAGAAATCTATCTCCATGATCCAGTCACCTCCCATCAGGCCTGACTTGCAATACTGGGGATTACAATTCCACATGATATTTGAGCAGTAACAAATATGCAGACAACATCCTTTTACCCCTGGACTCTCTCAAATCTCATGTCCTTTTCACATTTGAAAATACAATAATTCCTTTTCAATATCTGCCCAAAGTCTTACCTTATTCTAATTTTAACACAAAAGTCCCAAGTCCAAGTCCAAAGCCACATCTGATACTCATATCCTTCCACTGATAAGTCTCTGAAATCAAAACAAGTTATCTACTTTCACAACAATCAAAAGACAAAATCCCATTGATTAGTCACAGCAGGAATTAAAAACTTAGAAAAATATCTATTTTGAGAAATAAGTACCATGTTGATATAGCCACATATTCTTCAACTTAGTCCCTAGGATTTCAGATTCTTGGAAATCATGTCTCAACTGTGTGCATCCTAGTATGGCACCAATAGCATCTCAACCTCCCACTTTAGAAGTAGCTCAATCAATTCTAAACTTTTCCATTTAGTTTCTGAAATATTCTAAGTGATGTGTAGGACTATATATTTGTCCAAATTACTCAGGAACATCCATCCACTGGTGGGTACCACTATGTTTTAATAGACACCAGTCCTCTCTTCCTTCCTTCACATCATCAACATTCCAGTGTTGAATGGCCATGATGGAAATATTTGACATTTAAGAGTGAGCATAATTTATTTAATCAGTATTCTCTATTGGAGAGCAGGCTTTAAGTAGAACTGAATTCTGAAAAAAATAAATAAGTAGAAAGAGAATCAGATAGTGTCTGAGTTCTTTCATGCAACTATAACAAACTCACAGACTGGGAAATTTATAAACAATAAATATTTATTTCTCACAGTTCTGGAGTTCAGAACTCTAGGATCAAGATGCTAACAGATTCAGTGTCGGTGAAGCTGTCTGGTGGAGCCAGAAAAGGCAAAGGAGACAAATTGAATCTTGCGTCTGCACATGGCAACAGAGATGGAAGGGCCAGGCAGCTCTCTGAAATCTTCTATATAAGGCCATTAATCCCATTTATTGAGGGCAGAGCCCATGACTTAATCACTTCCCAAGGGGCTCTACCTTTTAATATCAACTTAGGCTTTAAATTCCAACATTAAGTTTGGAACATCACAAACATCTAAACCATAGCAGATGGGACTAGACAACTCCTAACAAAGTCAGCACATAACCATATAGGAAGAGTGACAAAAGCAGCTGCCTTGGTTACCTTTGACCAAGACTTTCTTACAAAAAGGGTTCCTTAGCAATATTCATTTATCAACACCAGTGATGACATGTTGATACTGTGTAACTCTTGATAGGATGTACTGAAGACACATCCCTGCTGTAATATTCTTGCCAAAAATGAAAAATCTGACTTTAATCAATAGAAAATACCAAACAATAGAACTTAAGGGACATTCTGAAAAATAACCAGCCAGCATACATCAAAAGTTTCAAGGTATTTCAAAACAAAGACTAAAAAACTGTCAGAGATTGAAGGAAATTAAGAAAGCATGAAAACTGAATGCAATATGGGATCCAGAAATTTTATCCTAAAACATTAAAAGTAAAAATGGTAAATACATGTATCAGTGGAAAGCTCAGTGAAATTCAAATGTAGATTGTAACTTCATTAATAATAGTGGATTAACCATTAATGTTAAAGCTATTTGAAGTACTAGAAAAATCAGTTTAAAATGATTTTATATTCAGCAAAACTATCCTTAAAGAAAAGAAAAGAAGCCGTGACTAGCATATATCTCCTATAAGAAACTCAAGAAGAAATCCTTCAGAATTCAGAATCACAGTAAACGACAATGAACAGTAATTTAAATCCATGAAATTAAATGAAAGCTTCATAAATATACTTACCTCAATTCATATGTTGTTGATGTTCACGAAAACTGAATCTTTGTGATAGATATCAGAGTTGCAGTTCCCTTGGTAGGTTAGAGGCAGAAGCTATTGACTAGAAAGGTGAATGAAGGCAGCATGTGGAGAATTTCAAATCATTCATATTTGTATCTGGGTAGTGAATGTGAGTACTTTATTTGGCTGAGCAGCGAACATGTTTGCACTTTACTCAGGGCACAATTTATTTTGATTTATAAAATTAACAGCAAACCAAGACCCTTTCAACACACATGAAGAAAAAAATAAGAAGCACCAAATATTTACAGAAACTCAGCCGTATTAAAGAGAAGTGTAATAAGCACTGGGAAAATACTAGGAAGTAAAAAAATTGACAGTAAACACAGTAAACATAGAAATATATCCTGTCCCAATCAGGCTGCATAGATTGTTATTTCTGCCAGTTTTTTCTCAAGCATACAAAATATGTTGTTCATAGGAAAGGCCCCCATACCCCTGCACATATCATGTTATTTCTACACCACTGCACCCACCAGGGGATTTGCATATTGTCCCCCAGGGAGGACCTTCCCTTGCAAGTCTGAGATAAAAGCTCAGCACCAACCTTGACTTAACTAATTAGGACTCCTCAGGTCACCTTCTCACAATGAGGCTCCTTGCTCAGCTTCTGGGGCTGCTAATGCTCTGGGTCCCTGGTGAGGACAGAAGAGAGATGAGGGAGGAGAATGGGGTGGGAGGGTGAACTCTGGGGGCCCCATTGCCTCCCATGTGTGTTCTGTCCTCATGTTAGATGTGTACGTCTTGTACTCCAGGATGGGGCTTGTAACTTTTATATCTGCGTGAGTAAGGCATGTGAGGTTTAGATCTGTAAGAATGAGGAAGATTCCAGAAGGAACAAAGACCAGTGCTCCGGTGAAGACTCTAACAGAGAAAGAGGGAATGGTAGAGGAAACTTCTAGCACTCAAAGCACTCTGCTGTGCTTTGAAAATATGTTTTTATTTTGAAATTATATATTACTAGGGTCTGAATCAAATTATAAAAATTGATTTAGCCTGAAATAAATAACAGAAGAAAAATTATTTTAAAATTGTGCTTAAAGTTTCTACATAACCTTGCACTTCTCTCTCATTATTTCAGGATCCAGTGGGGATATTGTGATGACCCAGACTCCACTCTCCTCACCTGTCACCCTTGGACAGCCGGCCTCCATCTCCTGCAGGTCTAGTCAAAGCCTCGTACACAGTGATGGAAACACCTACTTGAGTTGGCTTCAGCAGAGGCCAGGCCAGCCTCCAAGACTCCTAATTTATAAGATTTCTAACCGGTTCTCTGGGGTCCCAGACAGATTCAGTGGCAGTGGGGCAGGGACAGATTTCACACTGAAAATCAGCAGGGTGGAAGCTGAGGATGTCGGGGTTTATTACTGCATGCAAGCTACACAATTTCCTCACACAGTGGTACAGCTCTGAACAAAAACCTCCCGCTGGAGTGGCCCAGCTGCTCAAGTGTGTTGTTTCTCTGGGGAGCAGTTGAACAGAATCTCTATCTGTATGAGATAAACATGTTGGAGAACTCAGGGCAACAGGTTGCATCTGAGGGTTCTGTCCCATGGGTGCCTCAGTTGTACGTCAGGCAAAACCCGTTCACAGCCCTGTCAGCTGCAACAGCCTTGGCATGGCATAAGCCATAGGAAACCAGAGGTGATCCCAGTGCCTGCACAGGTAATAGACTGCCCTGAGGGAGAGCTTAAGAAAATCCTATTCCAATCCTCCCTGCCTTGCCTGCATTGGGAAATAAGACTTAAAGAGGTAAATAACCAGACAAGTAACCCAGATTTGTTGCAACACTTCTTGAATATATCTTGAGGTTTAGAAGTTTAAAGTCTACATTTAAGAGGATAATATGTGGTAATATCCAAAAATTGAACTTTTCAACTTTCCTAACTTCTTATTTTTCTCTTTCACCACCTATCTTCCCACCACATATTGATGGTGGAAAGAGCCTTCCGCACAAGCTGTCATCATGAGGAGCTGGATGAGGGCAATTAGTGAAAATCTTGGATTTCAGCCTCAGAATGGACTTTTGTAAATTGGTGAGAGATAGAAAATATGAATGCTAAAATTATTTTATTCACTTCAATTGTGTCTTGCTGACAGAAAAGGATAGTTTTTGAAATTTCAGAAGTTGAGTTTCATAAACAGAAACTTAAACTATAAGACATAGGTTATAGAATTTACCTCATAGAACACTGAAATAACACAGAATGATATGCGATTTCTTTCCCCAAAATGTAAGAGTTTGAAGACAGTGGGCAGACTTCAAGAATGGGAGAATTAATGGAAGATAGTGGAGGTCAACTATGGCCCAATAACCTGCTCTTTGACTTACATTAGGTACAGTTGTGGATGACAGTGACTGTTGGGGGTTGGTGATATAAACTCAGAAAGGAGCCCAAATGTCTTTCTTATGAAGAATCACAGAGGAGAAAGTATCACTCCCTGGCTCCATGGGTTGAGCCTGCACCACTGCAAGTTTCAAGGAAAAGTAGTTCATCAAGAATGATCTTTTAGTTCTGCAATCATCAAATGTTTATTGAAGTTCCTGTGCAAATAGACCTGAGGTTCTGTGACTCAGTCACAGTCAAACTAAAATAACCCAGCAGATGCCATATGGTTGGGTTTGAGAACACAAATCATGCAGTGGCATGCTAACCTGAAGTCCCAATAGAGTCTACATCAACTGGGGAGCAGTGGCAATGATGACCAATATATCCATGATTCAGACATGTATTATGAATGGTCTGCGCAGAATTTATCAACAACAAAAACTCCATGAATCCTCTGTATGGGGAGTTTCTGTCTTTCTAGACCAGCACCCAAAGACTGCACATGTCATCAAACCACAGCCAATGTTCCATGGAGAACACTATCTGTGAGTTGAGGCTGCATTGTGCAACCAAAGAGGCACAGCCAGATTCTCCTTTCACAGATGAGTTTCTCTGCCCGTGCCAAAGCAGAACTTGGGTCCAAATGCCAACCTGGCAAATATGGCAGGGGAACAAAAAGTCAGGTAAGCATCAGCTCAATTAGAGAGGATTTCCTCACCCTGGAATTTTAGATTACCTAGGCCTTATTCTGTCCACTGTTCTCTGATGTTATAATTTCATAAATTTTG
Source organism: Homo sapiens (assembly GCF_000001405.40). Taxonomy (NCBI): domain Eukaryota; kingdom Metazoa; phylum Chordata; class Mammalia; order Primates; family Hominidae; genus Homo; species Homo sapiens. The sequence goes on along the minus strand of NW_012132915.1, from coordinate 283,427 downwards.
TATTTTTTGTACCTTTGGCAGCAGTTGCTTTAGGGCTTTTAACCACAATGTTATTGTACCTGGGAGTGGAGATAACTTTTTCAACTAAATAATGTTTTAGAAATGACAATTTTGGTATTCAATTGTCATGAAAAGAATAAATGGTTTTCAATATATAAGTACATGCATCATTTTCACACAATGTAGTCATTACATGAAAATGAACCTCATTCCTACCTTCTAGTAGTAATTGTATAGAAAATATATAGCTTGCAAAGATGACACTTAAAATAATGCCCTAAATGTATTTCTAAACTAATCATGACATGATATGATCAAAGTAAAGGGGCATTTGAATCAGCAGGACAACATACTCTTTTCCTTGTTAAGGAAGTAAACCATATTAGAAATGACTGTGTATTCCAAGATAATGCATTCTGTGGTGAGGGAAGTTAAAATTCAATTTTTGAGGAGAGAAATCCAGAAAAAAATGGATTATGGCAAGACGTTTGTAACATAGGCAAAGAATGACAATCCTTCAAAGTATTTTTCTGCACATATTCAAAAGTGGAGACACACATGCAGTCAAAATTTTAATCATTACATACTCACAATCACTTCTGTGGGGCCTGGAGATACTGCACATACGACTGTTAGCAAGACACTCACTGGGACGCTGCGTTGTGTGATGGCCCCACATACAAACCTCAAGGAGGCTCAGCCTCTCAATGCAGCAGGAGCAGCTGGGGTACCCAGGCCACACGTCCATACCAGGTGGGCTCAGTTAGAGATGGCTGGAGAGCCTTCCAGGAAGAGGCCATGAGGTTTCAGTCACAAACACTGGCTCCTCTTCTGTGTAAACAGGGGCTAGAGCCCTCCAGGACAATTCCTAGAGCCTCTCGCTTTCTCTCCAATTAGTGCACTGACACCCCACAGATTCTCCAGGAAGTGGTTGTCATGTCCTCCCTGCAACAGCCACTAAAGTTCCCTACTGCTGTCATGAATGCAGGGACACTTAGTCACATCACTGGGAGGCGACCCTAGTGTATCCTGACCTCACCTGCTGCCACTGATGACTTTCAGGGCACCTCTTTCTCCCTTTGCTGAGTGACTCTCACTCTCACCAACCATCAGGAGAATGGAAAGCTGCCTGCAATGCATGATGTTGGCTGTTGAGCAAATCAAAGCTCACAGGAGTCTCAAACATGTACACCACATAATAATATTTTCTGATAATACTATTTGGACTTTTCTTCCTTTCAATTCTGGAAGTAATTGAGAATATTTTTTGAACTCTTAGAAACACTTAGTATATATGTGTAGTAGGTAGTAACTAGTTTTGTCTACTGGTTTATTTTGTTTGCTTGTTTCAGGCCATGATGCGGCATGTTAAAATACTGAAGACAAAGATACATTTTAGAATTAAGCATACTGTACATTGGCTCTTTCCACACCACTGCAACCACCAGGGGATGTGCATATTGTCCCTTAGGAATGACCTTCCCTTGTGAGTCTGGGAGTAAAGCTCAGCTGTAACCTTGCCTTAACTGATCAGGACTCCTCAGTTCACCTTCTCACAGTGAGGTTCCCTGCTCAGCTCCTGGGGCTGCTAATGCTTTGGGTTCCTGGTAAGGACAGAGGAGATGAGGGAGGAGAATGGGGTGGGAGGGTGAGCTCTGGGGGCCCCACTGTCACCCATGTGTGTTCTGTCCACGTGTTGGATGCACGTGTCTTGTGCTCCAGGATAAAATGTATGGTGGCACTTTTATATGTGAAAGAGTGAGGAAGATTCCAGAAAAAGCAAAGACCTGTGCTCTGGTGCAGATTCTGACATAGAAAGAGGAGGGTAGCATAAGTGACTTCCAAAGGGCAACTTGGGCCTTCAAAATGTCTGTTTTTTTTTTAATTAAATTTTTTTGGTGCATGAATCAAAATTACACACACACTCACACACACACACACACACACACACGCGCCGCAATACAATTATTTAGCATTAAATAATTGTAGAGAAATTATGATAATGTCTCATGATTTACATAACATTGTACTTCTTTTTTATATTACTTTAGGATCCGGTGGGAATATTGTGATGACCCAGACTCCACTCTCTCTGCCCGTCACCAATGGAGAGCCGGCCTCCATCTCCTGCAGGTCTAGTCAGAACCTTTTACATGGTAATGGATACACCTATTTGTATTAGTTCCTGCAGAAGCCAGGCCACTCTCCACAGCTCCTGATCTGTAGGACTTCCAATCAGTTTTCTGCCTTCCCACACAGGTTCTCCCCAGTGGGAGGAGAGAGTAGACCAGTCATCCCCAGATATATCACAGGACTAGTTTCAACCTTTGGAAGCTGGTCTATATCCTATGGTTAAATAGGCATTTGTGATACGACCTGAAATACATTTGGACAAGAACTTCACTAACAATTGAGTCACTGAAGACTTACGGCCCTGTGTGACGCACCACATAACTGTGAGTTTGCAGTGGTTGCAGGTCAGGGACAGATTTTATGCTTAAGATCAGTAGGGTGGAGGCTGAGGATCTTGGCTATTACAACTGCCACCACACTCTACAATATCCTCCCACAATGGTTCAGCACCAAACAAAAGCCTCCTGCTTGGATTGTCCCAGCTGCCCAAATTAGTTCCTTCACTGAGGAGTAGACAGGGTATATTCTCTAAATCTATGTAACAGGAAGATGTTGGTGAACTCAGGGGATTAGTATGAAGCTACACCTCAGGCATCACACATAAGATCACTTCAGCAGTCGCAGCCTTAGCATGGGCAGAACCTACAGAAGATGCAAGTGCCCTCTGAGCCAGGAGACAGGAGGAAGGAGGAAGGGAAAGGTGACTTAGCTCATCTCAATCCTCTCTCCTTTGCATACATTTGTCAACCAGATGTATTCAGCCTACCAGTCACACAACTGAGGCTGATACATGACAACATAGCACTGGTATATTCTTGGTATTGTTTGGCTTAGCAGTTACTAGTATATATTTAATGGGAGAATATTTGGTGGTGTTAACACATTGCTTATCTCCCTTTCCCCAGTTGTACTTTACACTTGTTCTTGGCACACATTCTCCTCCAGGACTGGAGCATTCACAGGGTTTTATGTTACTGTTCTTATGGGAGTAAAAAGAAAAACGATTCACATTCTTGCTACTGAGCTAGGCTGGGATGCCCTGGGCCAAGCTGAAAATGTGAAAAATAAGAGTATGAATATTTATTAAGTTTTATCTGGATCTAAGATACTTATCCATGAACCAGTCCTGCAGCTGTGCCCAGCCTGCTCCATTCCCTGCTGATTTGCATGTTCCCAGAGCACAACCCCCTGTTCTGAAGACTTCTTAATAGGCTGGTCACACCCTGTGCAGGAGTCAGTCTCAGTCAGGACACAGCATGGACATGAGGGTCCCCACTCAGCTCCAGGGGCTCCTGCTGCTCTGGCTCCCAGGTACGGATGGAGAACACTAGGAATTTACTCAGCCAATGTGCTCAGTACAGCCTGGCCTTTCAGGGAAATCATCTTATAAATAGTTGTGTGGATTATTTGTTTTTATGTCCCAGGAGTCAGATGTAATTTCCAGATGACTCAGTCTCCATCCTCCCTGACTGCATCTGTAGGAGAGAGAGTCACCATCACTTGCTGGGCGAGTCAGGGCATTTGCAATTATTTAAGCTAGTATCAGTAGAAACTAGAGAATCCTCCTAAGCTCCTGATCTATGCTGCATCCAGTTTGCAATCTGGGGTCCCGTCACGGTTCAGTGGCAGTAGGTCTGGGACACATTTCACACATTCTCACCATCAGGAGCCTGCAACCTGAAGATGTTATAACTTATTGCTGTCTATAGACTTACAGCAGCCATCCTAGAGTGTTACAGGTCATAAAATAAACCCCCAGGGAAGCAGAAGTATGACTCATGGCTGCCCCAGGTGCTTCCACTGGTGCCTCCATCTGCTGAGAGTGTTTCTCAGGTGCAGCCAAGATTTAAAGGTTTTTGTAGGAATGGCCAGAAGTCTCATCTGCATTCTAACTCTTTTTCTTCCTGCTTAGCCCCAGCAGCACAGACATGACACTATCTCTCCTGATTTAATAAGGGATAGCATTTACGATACCTGAAGAATCTGTGTTATTGCATCCATCTGGGTCATAGATTAAAAGAGAAACCACTCTACAGATTGCCAGAAGGCATTGTTTTAATACAGGGAATTAGAGTTGAATATACAAAACTGGGAGTGTGGTAGTTAGGGAAGCTGACACTAGAAACACGGGAGTCTCTGGAGGTCTGCCAGAAGCCAGAGTTCATCAGCCGCTAAAGGCATGGGCTATCTAACCATATAGTCTTCTTTGTCTAGGAAGTCCGTATGCGAAGATGCTGATGCTATCAGTTGTTGCAGCACCTCACCAGGTGATTCTCCAGTCCTTATCTCAGTGAACATGTTTGCCTACCGGTGTCAAAGAATATTGAATCGCCTTCTTCTTACCTTCAAATATGATGAGAGGTCTTCTCTTTGAGTAACTCTACAAGAAACCATAGAGGGTTTAATGTGTTTCAGGAAAGGTGCTTTTAGAAATCATGGTGAATATGAGGAATTACAGCCAAGTGAGATAAGTATTTCCCAAAATCTCAGAATTTTCCAGGTATGGGGTGGCTTCAGAATACATTTGGATGTTCTTACATGTATTATTAGAAAGTTTGGTATTATTGCAAGAAAATTTTATTAAGTCGTAAAGTAAAAGAAAAAAATGACAACATTGCTTGAAATACATAGCAATCCTTTGACAAATGAAAAAAAAATTGACAAAACAAACAAGAACACCTATAGGTGCACGTAGCATACTTTTTCCTTAATATAAGAGCACTTTGCTACTTAAAATTTGTCCAGATTCCAGTGGCATTCTCAGCGTCACTATGAACACAGTACAAATGCAAAGTAGCAGATGTGCTTTAGACCTTGTTGCATGATAACCTGCACTTCAACTAGTTAAGAGGTAACGTACGGGTGTTTCAAGAAGCCAAGTTTTAGAAGACATTTACTTTAGCTAAAGATTTTTTTTTCCCCCACAGTGAGAACATTTATGTTAAAACCACTTAAAAATATATGCTGCTTTATTTCTAATTAATGCAAAATTACATTCAAAAATATTTTTAATATTCTAAAAGTTGAAAAACAATTATTTTTTATCAATGGATCAAATACTTTGATAGTTAAATGCAGTAAACGTTTTTAGAAACTTTAGGACTTAACAAAGTAAAAGAATAAATTAAATTGTGTTCACTGTTTTAGAGAACATTAGGATACCATTTGCCTGGTCAGTTTTGTTTGAAAATTGTGTTCCTTTTTGCTGCCTTCCATACAAATGTTGTGTCTTGGCTAGGCCCTTCCTTGATCCCAAATGAAACACAATCTAGAGGCAGAAGAACCACTCCACTAAGCTCTTCCTTGATCAGCCACATCATTGTTATCATAAACATCTATTAACAAGAAAATATCTGCTTAGTTTTATTATCCGCTGAGTTTTGAGCAGTGGATAAGTGCATGTTTCCGTAAGTGCACTTTTTCCATAAGTGAGGTGAATTTCACTTAATTCATATCATTTAGCTTTAATTTCCTCTAAGTGTCTTTATAAATAGATGACTAAATATTTATATTTATGCTATCAGATTTGATAACATGCATCTATCTATATGACTGGATGTGTGAATATTATATTGGTCAGCTTTCACCCAGGTGGTCATGTCAGAAAAGGCTGTTAGCTTAGCCTGAGTGTAGAATTTCTATCTTAGATCACATATATCATGTGTCTTCCTGTCTTATATCCCTGTGTCTTCCTGTCTCACCAATTATCTAGATTCAGTGAATGGTGTGTGGTACAAGACTTGTAGGAACTAAATTAAGTTGTGTGGTCCCATTTCTTTTGTTTCTACCCTAAATATGCCTAGTTGTTTTCCCTGGTGCATGACAGAATATGGTTGGAATGAAGAGTTATTGGAACTTTATCTCCCAAGTACACCTTTCACTTGCTGCTTAGGGATCTTTTCTGAGGGCCCTGAAGCTTCCTCAAAGAGCAACACTCAAGTACCCACAGTGCTGCAGGTGCAGGGGTGACCACAACTGCACAGATGAGAAGCACCCAGGCTCTGACCCTTCAGGTTACCAATGCCATTTCCCTGAAGACAGACAATCATGCTGTCCATGCAGGTAACAGACAATGATGCTGTCCATATAGGCAGGGGACAACTCCTTGGGTGATCCTCTAATCTACACACCGCTTGATTCTGTGCAATGCTTATATCAATCCAGAGTCAGGTTCTCTTCTCCTTAATAGTTCCCAGAACCTCTGCTTACACCCCCTGAATCTCATTTCATATACTGCTGCTCCTTTCCTTTAATCAGTTAAAATCGTTTGCTTTTTCTTCCTTTCTCTTAGGTATCAAGGAAGCAGTTTTATTAATGCTGCTCTAAGTTTCAATTGGATCTTCATTCATTCTGGAAATAGAGTCAACAATATTTATCTAACTGTCAAGACGTTATCTTGGCAAGCCCTGAAATCAAATCCATTGTGTTGGAGACAGAGCTTTAATCCTTATAGATTATGTGCCATTAGTAAATTTGCTTATGTGAAACTTTGGCAATAATAGAATCTACCTAAAAGGTCTCTTTACAATTTATACAAGGTAAAGCATTTACAATAGTATCTAATCATTATATGTGCTGGTATTAATTTTGTTGTTACTATTATGATAACATTTAGCACTGTAATGATCATTATTATCATCACTAGACTAATTTAGAAGAGAGTTAGGAGAAACAATCTTAATTCTAATCCAAGGATGTTTCATCTATAGCCACATTAGTTTCTGAGATGGGATTTTCACTAACTGACTCACAATTCTTAAAATGCTAATGATTTGTTCTTGATCTATACTAACTTGCTCAGACCTTCAATCATGCCCACCCAGATGGGTCCATTGCATTTCTTCTCATCATTCATTATCATAACTTTATCCTATGAAAGGTTAGAATGTCATATTGCTGTCCTTTCTTACATAATCTTTATTCTGTCTTTTTAACCTTTTCTCATTTTTTCTACTACATCTGCCATAACTCAAAAACCAAATCTCAGTTTTTTCCCAGGATTGGCATGCTTCTGTGCTAAAGATGTTGTTCATTCTCTTACTTTCTGGATTTCTACGGGACAAATTATTTCAAACTCAGGCCTTTCTAATACCTCAGAGGTATAGGGCATAAAAGAGAAAGAAAAAGCATATGTACGAGTGTGATTTGACAAATTGAAAAGTCACTTCACCTTTTTGTGAAGTCATCTATTCTTTCTTGCAAGGGTTTTCAAGTTGTGCCTATATTTTTAAACACGTATGACTTCTTCAAACACTTTTCTTCTCTAAGTCTTTTCCTCCAAAAGCCCCAGTCAGATTAACTGTATCCAGTAAAGTATGGTTGGCCCTTCTCTGATATCCTCTCTATATATACCCAAAAGTTTCCATTCTCTTCTAACATTTTTGTTTCATTACCATCCAAAGACAAAATTCTATTAAATTTTCAGATAATAACTTAAAAATTTGGAGAAGTACATATTTCTAGAAATAACTGTCATGCATATGTAGCCACATGTTCTTTAACTGAGGGACCAGAACCTCGTATTTCCAGAAAGAGTGTCTGAACTGTGTGCATACTAAAATGGTACAAATGGTATCTCAGTCTCCTCAGCAGAAGTAGCTCAGGGCAAGCTGTTCCTATCCATTTGATTCTTGCAGTATTCCAAGTGCTAGAAAATTATGTTTTTCCAAACAGTTGATTCAGTAACTGCTGTTCATTTGTTGATACCACTACATTTTAATAAATCTCATTCCTCTGGGTTTTTTTTCAGGCTATTAACATTTAAATGGTAAATGGCCATCATAGTAACATTTGCCATTTAAAAGCCAGCTCATTTATTTGTTCAATATTCTCTATTGTACAGTAAGTGTGAAGAGGGTTAAAGCCTAAGCAACATAAAAAAAAATAGTTTCAGACAGGAATAGGTTATTTCTCAGAAAGTCAGCAAATAACCAAATACAAAGAGTGATAGAAGCAGCTGGCTTAATTAGCTTTGTCCAAGACCTCCTTTCAGAAACCAGAATCTTTGGGACACAGCAAAAGCAGTGTTTAAAGGGAAATTTATAGCACTAAATGCTCACGGGAGAAAGCAGGAAACATCTAAAATCGACACCCTTACATCACAATTAAAATAACTGGAGAAGCAAGAGCAAACAAATTCAAAAGCTAGCAGAAGACAAGAAATAACTAAGATCAGAGCAGAACTGAAGGAGATAGAGACACGAAAAACTCTTCAAAAAAAATCAATGAATCCAGGAGCTGGTTTTTTTGAAAAGAGCAACAAAATAGATAAACCACTAGCCAGACTAATAAAGAAGAAAAGAGAGAAGAATGAAATAAACACATAAAAAATGATAAAGGAGGTATCACCACTGATCCCACAGAAATACAAACTACCATCAGAGAATACTATAAACACCTCTAAACAAATAAACTAGAAAATCTAGAATAAATGGATAAATTCCTCGACATATACACCCTCCCAAGTCTAAACCAGGAAAAATTTGAATCCCTGAGTAGACCAACAACAAAGTCTGAAATTGAGGCAGTAATTAATAGCCTACCAACCAAAAAAAAGTCCAGGGCCAGATGGATTCACAGCCGAATTCTACCGGTAGAAAAAGAAGCTGGTACCATTCCTTCTGAAAATATTCCACACAATAGAGAAAGAAAGAATACTCCCTAACTTGTTTTATGAGGCCAGCATCACCCTGATACCAAAACCTGGCAAAGACACACACAAAAAAGAAAATTTCAGGCCAATATTCATGATAAACATTGATGCGAAAATCCTCTGTAAAATACTGGCAAACCGAATCCAGCAGCACATCAAAAAGCTTATCCACCATGATCAAGGTGGCTTCATCCCTGGGATGCAAGGCTGGCTTAACATATGCAAATCAATAAATGTAATCTATCACACAAACAGAACCAATGACAAAAACCACATGATTATCTCAATAGATGCAGAAAGAGTCTTTGATAAAATTCAATACCTCTTCATGCTAAAAACTCTCAATAATCTAGGTATTGATGGAATGTATCTCAAAATAATAAGAGCTATTCATGACAAACCCACGGCCAAGATCATACTGAATGGGCAAAACTGGACACATTCTTGTCAAATACTGGCGCAAGACAAGGATGCCCTCTCTCACCACTCCTATTCAATATAGTATTGGAAGTTCTGGGAAGGGCAATCAGGCAAGAGAAGGAAATAAAGCATATTCAAATAGGAAGAGAGGAATTCAAATTGTCTCTTTTTGCAGATTACATGATTGTATACTTAGAAAACCCCATGGTCTCAGCCCCAAATCTCCTTAAGCTGATAAGCAACTTCAGCAAAGTCTCAGGATACAAGATCAATGTGCAAAAATCACAAGCATTCCTATATATCAATAATAGACAAACAGAGAGCCAAATCATGCATGAACTCCCATTCACAATTGCTACAAAGAGAATAAAAAACTTAGGAATACAGCTTACAAGGGATGTGAAGGATCTCTTCAAGGAGAACTACAAACCACTGCTCAAGGAAATAAGAGAGGACAGAAACAAATGGAAAAACATTCCATGCTCATGGATAAGAAGAATCAATATCGTGAAAATGGCCATACTGCACAAGGTAATTTATAGATTCAATGCCACCCCCATCAAGCTACCATTGACTTTCTTCACAGAATAAGAAAAAAATACTTTAAATTTCATATGGAACTAAAAAAGAGCCCACATAGCCAAGACAATCTAGACAGAAAGAACAAAGCTGGAGGCATCACGCTACCTGACTTCAAACTATATTACAAGGCTACAGTAACCAAAACAGCATGGTACTGGTACCAAAACAGATATATAGACAAATGGAACAGAACAGAGGCCTCAGACAGATGCTGGAGAGGATGTGGAGAAATAGGAATGCTTTTACACTGTTGGTGGGAGTGTAAATTAGTCCAACCATTGTGGAAGACAGTGTGGCGATTCCTCAAGGATCTAGAACCGGAAATACCATTTGACCCAGCAATCCCATTACTAGGTATATAGCCAAAGGATTATAAATCATTCTACTATAAAGATGCATGCACACATATGTTTATTGCGGCACTGTTTACAATAGCAATGACTTGGAACCGACCCAAATGCCCATCAATGAGAGACTGGATAAAGAAAATGTGGCACATATACACCATGGAATACTATGCAGCCATAAAAAAGGATGAGTTTATGTCTTTTGCAGGGACATGGATGAAGCTGGAAGCCATCATTCTCAGCAAACTAACACAAGAACGCAGAACCAAACACCGCGTGTTCTCATTCATAAGTGGGAGTTGATCAGTGAGAACAAATGGACACAGGGAGGAGAATGTTATACCCCAGGGCCTGTTGGGGGGTGGGGGGCTAGGGGAACAGTAGCATTGGGAGAAATACCTAATGTAGATGACAAGTTGATGTGTGTAGCAAACCACCATGGCATGTGTACACCTATGTAACAAACCTGCACGTTCTGCCCATGTATCCCAGAACTTAAAGTATAATAAAACTTTTTTTTAAAAAAGGGTTTTATTGTTCATATTAATTGATCACCATTAATAGGATATGTTGACATTTTGTAATTCTTGCTGTGCACTGAGGTTGCACCCCATTTTTTTGTTTTTGTTTTTTTGCTAAAAATAAAAGATATGAATCTAATCAGTAGAAGACTTCAAACAAATGCAACTTAAGGGATTCTCCAAAATAACTTGCCAGTACACTTCAAAGGTTTCAAAATCATGAAAGACAAAACTAAAAAACTGTCACAATTTGGGAAATATTAAGGACACAATAATTAAATGCAGTGTGGGATTTTGGATTTTTTTCTGGAACATAAAGAAGGAGATTACTGAAAAAATCAGTGAAATACAGAGGGGATTTCAAATTACTTAATTAATAGCATTGCATTTATGTTAATGCTTTGGTATTGATACTTACCCTATAGTTACGCTTGATGTTGACATTACAGAAGAAGCTAGTGGAAGAGTACATGAGAACAATCTTATTATATTATGCAAATTTTAAGTCTAAAAACATTTCAATGTTATTAAAATATATAAATAAAAATAATTAAAACATAACAAAGGACATGGATTCTTATGAAACAATTTCACAAGATTCATCATGTTTTCATATTTGTGTTTCAATCATCTGTTAAAGACAATCCTGGCTCCCATTATGTAGAGAATATTCACTTACTTGGTCAATTCTAGAATATGCATAAGGCATATTTTACAGATTTGTAGTGCATTCCCTGAAAATGTGAAATCTAGTGATTAGAGTTACATATATATTTTTTTTATTTTATTTTTTATTTTATTTTATTTTATTTTATTTTATTTTATTTTATTTTATTTTATCTTATTTTATTTTATTTTATTTTGACAGAGTCTCACTCTGTTGCCCAGGCTGGAGTGCAGTGGCGCGATCTCGGCTCACTGCAGCCTCCGCCTCCCAGGTTCAGGCGATTTTCCTATCTCAGCCCCCTGAGTAGCTGGGACTACAGGTGTGCGTCACCAAGCCTGGCTAATTTTTTGTATTTTTAGTAGAGACGGGGTTTCACCATGTTGGCCAGGCTGGTCTCAAACTCCTGACCTCAGGTGATCTGCCCACCTCCACCTCCCAAAGTGCTGGCATTACAGTCATGAGCCACCGTGCCAGCCAAGAGTTAATATTTGTTAAGTGCACGATTTCTCTTCAAACCGTGGGTATTGAGTTCAAATTCTTTACTTCAGAATTACTTATGTTTTAACATATATCTATGTCCTTTCAGTGTTGCTGTCATATTCATTAAAATTCATTTTAGAAGGCATCTCTCTTTATTGTGTCACAGAGAGATTGTTAAATCCTCTCAGCAAAAATATATGAGAAAGACAAATTAAGCATAAAGCTAAAAAATATCAAATCGGTTTCAGCGCTCTGACAATTGGCAAAGTATAAAACATTTAATACTGTATACTATTCATAACATGAAAGAATATGTTTTGAGTAAGGAAGGAAATTATGTCTGTAGCCTTTTGCCTGGGATTTCTCCCTTCCATCTCCGCTCTGTCAGCATGAATTGCAGATCTGGGGTTTTAATGAGGATGTCAGCTTGCAGCTTGCAGTCGAAGGGAGTGGACTTGAGTTGAGGTGGAGAGTCAAGCAAGATCCTTCAGTGTTTCCAGCTAAATGTGATGAATTCTGCAGGAAATGAACAGAGCAAGTTAGTTCAAACTGAGGTCTCTAGCTGGGGCAAGTGGTACACCAGCTGAAAGTTACTAGTGGACTCCTGGAAGTGATGGAATGATAGAATTGCTAAAATAATGTCTGCACAGATTTCTGGTGACTTAAAAGCTGCCGTTATGAATAACAGGGATCAAAGGTGGTGCAGTGAAAAGTAAAACAGAGGGAGATAAGAACTGGCTACATTTTGTATACACTTTTCAGAACACACACAGATGAATAGGTTTATGAGTTTCACACATTTGGGAAAAACGTTTGCCCAGCTCATTGCTATGATCTTCTTTTCCAGGACCTTAGCCAGCCAGCTATTCAGAAATCTATATGTATACTTGACTCCAGACACTTCTCTATCTACTAATTTGATGAACATGTGCTCTGCTCAGATGTAAGATAACTCAAGGTAGTATTTGACAGCCATGCATGACCGTTGCCATAGTGTGGACACAGTCCACACTTACTTACACAAACATATGATGCCAAGCCATTCAAGAGGAAGCCCAGCTTGTTCTCATTTTTGCTTTGATTTTCTTTGTTTTTGCTTATTTTCTTTTTTTTTTCTTTTTCTTTTTTTGTATTCTCTCTCTGGCATTAGCTGATCAGGAAAACCCATGATATCATAGAGAGAGCTGATGCAGAGGTGTTAAGTTGAGAGAGAAAAGTGATATAAGGAACTGGAACATCTGTCTATGGAAATGAAGCATGCCTTCTGAATCTGCTTGAACCCAGTCACTAAACTACCATCTGCATCCCAATATTGAATGGTGCTGAGCTTCACCTGATCTTAAAATTGGTGAGAGTGACATTCTCAGTTTATGAGGGGCAGCTTAGTCACTTAATTATTTAGTCAAACAGTCAATTACTCATGGACATGCCTACATGGACCCTGTGATATTTTGAGAGCTGCATTTTGAGTAGTGAGTTGTTTGTGTGTTGTTTGTTTGTTTATTTTGGGGGCATTTCAGGATCTTGCTCAAGAACTGTAGAGATTTTTTTCTGTGACTCTTTTTTGGTGCTTGCATGGAGGTTTACAGAGTTTCCTCATCTAATATAGATTATCTAGCACCAGGCAATGTGCTGGATCTCATGGCTGAAGTGACAGAGGCATTTGCATTAAAACTCAAACTTACTACAGAATATTTTCTTTCTCAGAGTTTATTCATAAAAGACAGCCTTCCAAGTTAGCTGATAAATGGGTTGGTATAGTAAACCCAAGTGCAAAATGCATTGTCAACACTCTAGGATGGCTTAACCAGTAATGTGCTTCATTGCTAGTGGTTGGAAGTACAAGGTGCAATTATTTTTCCTTACTTTGGAGGGGATAAGCCAGCATGACTCATACTCCTTTTATAAACACTTGACATCTTCTCTAATGTGACAAGCCCTTGATGTTTTGGGGCGTGCATCCCACCCTCTAGAGCACATGTGTTTTCACAAGAAATTCAGAGTTCTTACAATGTCCAGCTCATCACGTCTAATTACCATGATGTCATCAATATAGTGTTGATGCTTTGTGGAACGTTCACAAAGCTTTTTCAGCCTACATTGTGACAGAGAGCAGGAGAGTTAACATAGCCCTGGGACGAGACTGAGGATGTGAGCTGTTATTCACCCCAGATAACTGCAGACTCTCCCAGAGATGGCGATGGACTCTGCCTTCACTCTGCAGCTGTGCCCTGGGGTCTTGGTCAAGCCCTGCCAGAGCCTCAGCGGAGCTCGTCTGCAGGTGCCAGCAGAGGGCGCTTCACACCCCTCATGGAAGGGGCCGGGAGGGCGCTCTCCTGGCAACAGTGATTTCTGTTTATTTAAACCAGCAGGACATCCCCATAATTTGCATGTATCGTTCCTCCTATATGTGAAGAGGCCCTGCCTCTCGGTATCTTAAAAGAGGTTCTTTCTCTGGGATGTGGCATGAGCAAAACTGACAAGTCAAGGCAGGAAGATGTTGCCATCACAACTCATTGGGTTTCTGCTGCTCTGGGTTCCAGGTGAGAATATTTCCACAAACCTAGGCGGAGATATTCTTTCAATCTGTAATTTCTTTCATTGGGGACTCTGCAATAGGTGATTTTTGGCTTGATTTTAAAATCCTAATTTTAAAAATGTAATGCATATTCTTTCTTCATGTCTAGCAAGATTAAAGGTGATTTTCATACACAGATATTTATGTTGTACTGATGTTTGCTGTATATTTTCAGCCTCCAGGGGTGAAATTGTGCTGACTCAGTCTCCAGACTTTCAGTCTGTGACTCCAAAGGAGAAAGTCACCATCACCTGCCGGGCCAGTCAGAGCATTGGTAGTAGCTTACACTGGTACCAGCAGAAACCAGATCAGTCTCCAAAGCTCCTCATCAAGTATGCTTCCCAGTCCTTCTCAGGGGTCCCCTCGAGGTTCAGTGGCAGTGGATCTGGGACAGATTTCACCCTCACCATCAATAGCCTGGAAGCTGAAGATGCTGCAACGTATTACTGTCATCAGAGTAGTAGTTTACCTCACACTGTGTTACAACCCAGAACAAAAACTAGTTCAGCCTGGCTGAACAGAGAAACTGGGTGATACCCTAGAATACTTCTGATTGTTACAGGTGCTTTGGAGGCAATGAGTTAACCAATACAATGAAGTCTGGCTCACCCAGCAGAGAGGAAACTAGAGTCACTGCTGCATACTTTCATCTTTTTAAAAATGAATTATTTTATTTATTTCAATAGTTTTTGGGGGTATAGGTGGTTTTTAGTTACATGGATAAGTTCTTTAGTGGTGATGTCTGAGATTTTGGTGGACCTGTTACCTGAGCAGTGCATACTGTGCCCAATATGTTGTCTTCTAGCCTTCACCTCCCCTTCTATCCTTCCTCCCCAGTCCCCAAAGTCCATTATATCATTCTTACGCCTTTGCATCCTCATAGCTTAGCTCCCACTTATAGATGAAAACATATAGGTTTTCCATTCCTGAGTTACTTCATTTAGAATAATAGCCTCCAGCTTCATCCATGTTGCTGCAAAGTTCATTATTTTGTTCTGTTCTGTTTTATGGCTGAGAAGTATTTCGTGGTGTATATACACCACGTTTTCTTTATCCACTCGTTGCTTGATTGGCACTTATGGTGGTTCCATATTTTTGAAATGGAGAAATGTGCTGGAATAAACATGCATGTGCATGTTTCTTTTTCCTATAATAACTTTTTTTTTCTTTGGGTAGATAAGAAAAATAAGTACTGGGATTGCTGGACTGAATGGTATTTCTACTTTTAGTTCTTTAAGGAATCTCCATACTGTTTTTCATAGTGGTTGTACTAGTTTACATTCCCACCAGCTGTGTAAAAGTGTTCCCTCTTCACCACATCCACGCCAATATCTATTATTTTTTGACATTTTAATTATGGCCATTCTTGCATGAGTAAGGTGGTATTTCAAGGCTATGGTTACCAAAACAGCATGGTTCTAGTATAAAAATAGGCACATAGATCAATGGAACACAATAGAGAACACAGAAATAAACCCAAATGCTTATAACCAACTGATCTTCAACAAAGCATACAATAACAAACAGTGGGGAAAGGACACCCTATTCAATAATTGGTACTGGAAAAACTGGCAAGCCACAGGTAGAAGAATAAAACTGGATCTTCATATCTCACCTTATACGAAAATCAGCTCAAGATGAATCAAAGGCTTAAATCTAAGAACTGAAACCATATAAATTCTAGAAGATAACATTGGAAAAACTCCTCTAGACCTTGGCTTAGTGAAAGAATTCATGACTAAGACCCCAAAAGGAAATGCCACAAAAACAAAAAATAAATAAATGGAACCTAACTAAGCTAAAAAGCTTCTACATAGCAAACAGACAACCCACAAAGTGGGAGAAAATATTCACAAACTGTGCATCTGTTGAAGGAATAACCATAATCTATGAGGAACTCAAACAAATCAGTAAGAAAAAAACAAATAATCCCACCAAAAAGTGGGCAAAGAATATGAACAGACAATTCTCAAAAGAAGATATACAAACAGCCAACAAATACATAGAAAAATGCTCCACATCACTAATTATCAGGAAAATGCAAATTAAGACCATAATGACATACTTTCGTCTTTATCCATATTTACTTTCAAAATACATGGACAGTTGTTGAAGGTCACCTCTCCCTTTTCTTTCCATAAACTATCTTTTACAAGTTGGTAAAAACTTTAGATTTCTCTTCAGAGCTACAGTTTCTCATTTATGGCAAAAGAGTTTAAAAGGGTAAAGATTAGGAAACAAGCAGGTGATGGCCTAGAGCTATAGTGACAGAAGATCCCATGGATTGAGGTTTCAGTTATTGTGGGTTCACGGGTGTGACAAATTAATTCTATTTCCAAAGCAGCCCCCTGAAGCATGATGTTTGTTAAGTCAGATTAACGTTAAGGTTCACTTTCACCAGTGCGGCATTCAACTGAGAATTCAGGAAATGCTGAATATTTGGGTTGCGATTTCTGAAAACTGGTCCACGGAAAATGTAACTATAGACATTTCTCTTGGAATTTTGAAAAGGAGACTTTTCCAAAAAGAACATTTACCTGGAATAAAAAACCAGAAGGATCCAGAGCCCTTTGTTGCCAGTCTAGGGAGCAGGACAAGATTCCAGGCCCAAGGAAGTTGAAATTAAGAATCCTCGATTCCCTAATAAGAATAACTTCACCAAAAGTTGAGTGTACCAAGGCACTAACATGTCAGAGAAAATAGTCTGGGAGCTCAGATGAGGTGGAAAACTCAATGGGCATTTTATGTTATATCTTGCCCTGACATATGAAATACAGGGGGGCAACCCTCCACCCTGAGAGTAAATATTCTTTTCTGTGTATCAGAGGTATTGTTTATGTCCTCTTTCATCCACCTCCAAAATCCAAACTGCAGTTTGAATTTTCTTATTTTAAAAAAAAATTTCACCATTCTTGATTATAGGACCAGTATCCTGCTCCTAGAATTTTTTAATACCAAGAGCAACTCAGCTTATTTGTTTTACTTTGTTTCCTGTGCACATTAAGTCACTCATTCAAAAATAATTTTTGGCATACAATGTAGTCATTGAGAAAACAGACATATCAGATTTGGTGATATTTTTGTGAGTGACTTTCACCGTATTTGGTCACAAAAAGTTATATCGGTTTTCAATACATTTTTTATCACATATATTTTACACCAAAGTGCAATGATCTACTACAAGAAATTGTATTTCTACATTATGGTATCAGGCAGACAGTCACCAGTTCTTTCACAGGGTAGTTTCAAGTTGCAGACCCTCATGTAGAGAAACTCAAATTGTGTGCCATGATTGGTTAAACCCAAATGGCAAGAAAAGGTGAGGAAGAGGTAACATTTTGTGAGATACTTTTGTTTGAATGTCTGTGAGCTGTTTGTATGTGTTTAGAAACATGCTGTTTCCAACCCGTATTCCACTCATGCTATGACTATTCCCAAAGCTTCCCCACCAGGACTTTCCTCTTGTATCAAAACCCATGGAAAAAGGAATTACTCATAGTCATGTCTGGTCCTGATATTGGATGCTTGCCTGAGGTCACTCATCACACCCTCCCCCACCTTCCAGGGACAGACACCCTGACCCTCTCCATCAAGCCCCTCCCACTGTGAGGGCCTTTCTTCTGCCTACTGTACATCTTACATGCAAATCGAGTTTATCTAATTTCAAGATGATGCTTGTTACTCCTATATATGTGTTTTTTTCATGTCCAGTGGATCTTTTTCAACTATAAAAGTAGTTAATTGTCTTTAGCTGAGGGGAAGCCATGATATCTTCTTCAATACAAAATAAACATATTTTTGCATTTAATGGATTTTAACATAATATCAGAGTTTTCAGGAACAATTCAAAGCCATCATGTGAGGGTTAGGAGCATTTGAGTAAATAAGACAATTTTGATCCCAAGTACTGATATTCAGTAGGGAAATGAGCCATTCAGAGAACAATACCTACACAGTGAAAGTGAAAAGAATCATTTCAATAGCTGATAAATTGTATAAAATTCAGGCAGTGGCATGTGGTATCTGGAGGTCGAGACCATTTATTTGTGCGGACCAGGGAAGGTCTCGGGGTCATACTGGAGATGCTTCTGAACGGTGAGGAGGCAGCCAAGTGACCATAGGAACAGCAAAGACCATAGGATCATCACGAGAAGGGCAGGGACTGGGAGATTTCAGATAAACCATTGTGCATTGAAAACGCCAACCAGTACCATAATAATAAGATGTCTTCTGTGATTTTATTCCTTTCAGGAGAAAATTTATACTAATATCTTTCATCAAACACCTTGACCTGGGTCACACCCATAACATGAAATGTTCCCTGGCTCAGAAGCTGGAAGTTCAGTTTTGCATCCCTGTTGTAAGTCTGCAGGCTCCACAAAGCCCCTCCCTGCCACTCAAGCCCTTATCAGTGGGTTGGTTGCTGCCTTTAGGGTGGGATCACCTGAGGCAGAGGAAGCACTGGACCTGAGGCTCTGGCCCTTGGGTCCTGGCTTCAGCTATGGGAGCTCCATGTGACAGGGTTCTTATGTCCCGTGCTGAGATACAGACCATCGCTCAGCAAGCCCAGCATTCATCTCCCACTTGATCAGCCAACACGAGTCTCTGGGAGGCCTGTAGAGTGAGACATCATTAACGCTGGGGAAGATTTGTGTTTTGTTTCCACCTCAGATTCCAGTGGCAACATTGTGGGCCCCAGATTCCAGCTTCTCCCTCAGTATCTCCAAGACAGAGAGAGAGTTTCCATCACCAGCCTAGAAGCAGATGAATCCAGGGAATGTTTCAAAGATCCACCCATGTGCTTTGTCTACATTGGCCATGGTCCACCCCAGCTTGGCACGGTGGTCTTGGGGCAGACACTTCCTTAACTTTCAGCAGCTTGGGTACCCTGATGACATTGCTGATTATTATTGTCTAAAACTGTATCCTCTCACAGGGTAAACACTTGCAGTGCCCAGCCACAAATAATGTGAATTAGAATTAAAAATTAAAAACATGTTTTCTCAGTTACACTAGCTACATTTCAAGTGTTCAGTAGCCACATATTACTAATGGCTACCCTATTGTACAGCATAAATGTAGACATTTTTATTGTCTTAGAAAATTATTTTGCTTAAAACCGCTCTAAATGTTGACAAGTGTTCCCTCATTGTGTTATAGCTCAGAGCATAAATCTCACCAGCTGTTAGTCTGGAAAACTGGGAGTCCTCAGAAGCTCTCCAGCTGGTACAACCACTGTGGTCCTCAGATCTGCTCTGGAAGAGTTTCCAGAATAACGGGAATGAGCCTGGGCTGACAGATCCAGAAAAGAGGACCTTGGATTTCCTCTCCAGCCCCTGCCCATTATGCCCGGCAGGGTCTCTCACACCCCTTTTTCTCTCTTCCAAAACTACATTTTCAGCATTTCACATGGATTTCAGAACCTAATTCCTAATCGTTTTGTGAGCAACATCTTTTCTGGATATCCTTTGTCCTCAACTTTGGGACTGGTTTATCAAGGAGAGGTGTCATTCTGTGTTCCTTATAGGATCTGGCCTACTGATGGAAGTAATAGGATCTGTTTCATCATTACCCATGAAAAGACTCACCGTCAAGATTGACTGGGACTCAGCATCTAAAATCCTATAAGATGCTATGTCACCAACCAGCCATTAGATGGCAGACAAACCCCACAGTAAACACCAGAAATAAGCCTGATCTTAGAAATACTAGGAAAATCAACAGGGATATTTTAGGGCTAAAATGAGGTCTCATTTATGACCTAGATTACATGGGAGGAGCTGCCAGTGCACTGAGTTGTGGGAAACTCCCTCTGTGCTCTGTGCTCTGAGATTGGAAGCCCAGCCTTTTCCTCCCCACCGCATTGGCTGTATCCCCAAACCCTACCTGATGTGGGCTGAATCCAGGCAGAGGGGAGGCTGCCAATGGTCCCTGGAGTGGTTTCTCCCTGTTACCACACAGCCACTGGGCCATGTGTGCTACTCTGTCTCACAAAGGCCACCAGGGGAGGACCTGCCCACCCTGAGCTCTGGGGACAAAAGTCCCTCCAGTTGGGGTCTAGACCCACTGCCCATCTCCCCAGCACCTGCTGCTCTGTGATTCCCCAGACCCCCGTCAGGACAGTCAGTGTCCTTAGCAATGGGCAGGGAGGTACTGCTCAGCCCAGAATGGATGTAGGTTTGGTCCTGAGCTTCCTGACCCTCAGGCTGTGTAGTGATGAAGGGGCCATGGGGTGGTGCAACCATTGCTGGTTTTAAATGTTTGTGCTCAATTTATCAAAGTTTAAAAATCATATCTTACACTGACAATTAAAGTTATATCTATTAACATATAAGTGTGCATATTATACTTATTCCTAATATAGATGCACAGTATATCCAAATGTATAAATATAATTTATATCTAAAATATTATATGTATATTTAATATGTAAGGGTTACATTACAAATATATACCTATGCATGTAATTTTATGTTTGTTTATTACTTATATCTAAAATATTATATGTATATTTAATTTGTAAGGGTTACATTGCAAATGTATACCTATGCACGTAATTTTAAGTTTGTTTATTTAGCATGTGCTCTTTTTCTTTCTAACCAGAACAGAGCCTGGCTGAGTAAAGACTCTGGGGACATTTGCTGTTCCTCCCTCTTTGACTCCAGCAGGGCCCCAGCCATGCAGAATCAGTGAGGACAGAGCTGAGAGCAGCCAGCTCCAGGAGCTCAGGCCCAGCCCTAAGGGTCGTGTGTCTGAGACTTTCACACTGGCAGTGGACTCTATGCTTGGTGCAGCGCCCATAGAAGTATGAGCAGTTTCCTTCCCTGAAACCCTGCCAGGCAGCTCTGTGGGCAGGACATTTGGTTCCTCCCAAGTCCTCAGCCCCATGGCTCAAGAGAGCAGCTACTTCCTCCACAGCCCAGGGTCAGAGCCCAGCAGTCTAAAGTAGTGCAAGCTTCACCTTAGTCCTGGGTTGAGGACCCTATTCCAAATCTCTCCTCATTTATTCCCATAACTGAAAGCCTGTCCTGGTCTTAAATGCACAGGCCACATTTACACAATTCTTAAAGCTAAAGATGTCATATGAGAAATCAGAAATTTGATTTCGTTTTCATCCTCAGAGCCTGGCTTCTTCTAGCTGTATCAAATCAAAGTGTTCATACATTCTCCTCCCTATACAACTTAACTTAGAAGCACAGCAAAATTTAAAATGTGACAAAGCTCTTGGCAACTATGCAACAGTCATCCCCTTCTTCCTTTGGTGTATAGGGCACCAACTGTGTCTTGCCGTACATGGTGAGGGTGGTGAGTTTCTCCCAGCCCAGGATGGGAGCAGGGATTAAGGGCACATGTGATCAGCTCCAAAATGATAATGTCAGAGGAGTGGGCAGGGATCATGGGAAAATGGTTATACCTCAGAAAAGGACAGAAAGTGAAGAGCTTTGCTTTGCATTTCTTCCTGTAACAGTTAAGAGAGGATATGATGCTTAGAGCTGCTGCAATCCTCTTGAGACCATGGGGCATTTACAACAAGAATGAAAAGCCAGTGATGATGCAGGTGCAAAGCAAAAATGTAGTAACAATCTGGGGCCTTTCAGCTGTCACCAAGCTGTTGTACCAACCTTAAGTGCTTCAACCTTCAGACTTCTTGTCATTACTTAAACCATTACTATTATTTCTTTGACTTGTTTCTAAAATTATTCCAACTTATCTATAAAAGACACTTAAGAGAAAGATCCTGGCTGGGCCACAGACTGTGCTTCAGAAGAAGAAACATATTATCAGAAGTGTGTGTGCTTGTACGAGTCTGAGGCATGAAGGGCAGGAAACATGATAAGTGATGTTCTCCCTGGCACCTTTGTCCTGCTATGCCCATGGCAAGAGAAACCCAAACAATGCCAAAGAGTTCCTCAATTCTGCTCTTTCATTATCTCCATTTCTCCTTTTATATCCTAAGCATGAAACATCCCTTTGTTCTCCTTAATTCCTCCCTTTTCCAAGGTCATGAATTGTTGTCAAGAAAGAGACAGGAACCGTTTGAAAAGATAAAACCTGGTGATACTGTGCATCTCCTCAACACCAACATGGTTCTGCAAGTTTCCTCCCTTCTCAGTGGTTTTCTTATGGGAAGTTGCTGGCTGCCTCAGCCAGGTCTCTGTCAGAGGTTGCATTTGGAGGGTTTACTAAGCAAAGCTTCCAGGTAGTTAGTGCTGGATTCCCAGGAGAGTAGCAGGATGGTGGGTCTGTATTCCCAGCATGCAGGAGGCCAGAATGAGACCTGGGGGAAGGCTGTGGGTGTGGGAAGAATGGACTTAGAACTCAGACCTGTAGCCACGGCCTTTGGAACCCAATAGTGTACACTAAACAGATGGAGCTCAGGGGAAATCTGGTTTAAAGGTGTTATAGTCATTTGTCATCTTGTTTATGTTTCTAGTGCTACACAGGAATGGATTTGTGGAAGTTTTTATTGTGGAAATAATGCACATGAAACCCCATTGCCTATAGTGAGTCACAGGTTAGTTGTAGAATAACTATTAAAGAATTTGATTTGTAAATGACATATGGTTAATAATATCTTCCATAGCCTCTTTTTCTAAGATACTCAAGGGTGCATTTAAAGAAAACTGGGTATATAAAATGTGCGTATAATGTGTGTGTGTGTGTGTTTATGGGCACACATATACACTCTTCAGGGTGCATCATTTGGTTAAACTCTCACAATACCCCATGACTTCCAAAGTGCTCCATTTCACATATGAGAGAACCAGCTATGAGAGCTCATGACTGGTTTGCCGAAAGTCACATGGTCAGCAAATGCCCAAAGTCACATGGTCAGACTTGGGATTGAAGCCCAGGTCTGTCTGGCTTTAGTATGTTCCTTCTACGTGGCCACTTTCATCCCATGGTTGAGCCCAAAGCCTATAAATAGGAAGAAGGGACCATAAAAACAGTGTGGAATCCACAGCTCCCTGCTGCCTCTGTCTCATGCCAGGCTGGCCCTAATCTTAAACTAGCCTCTTCTGTGGTTTTCTCTTCAAAATATAACTCTCTCGAAGTCTTTAAAAATTGTAAATGACTTTGCTTTATATTTTGGAGTAGGAACACATCTTGCTTTCCCCTGACCCTGTTCACATCTTCTCTTTCCCTTCCAGTTTCTCTAAGTCTTCCTTCTCAGGTTCCAATCTCTCTAAGTCTTTCCTTGTCAGGTTGTGTTCTAACTTTCCTGCCAAACATGAAAACAAACACACAAACAAACAAACCCTCCTCTTTCTATCAGGTGCTATGAGACCTGATCCCTTAACTCTCCAACACACATTGGAAAAGAGCTAATCAAAGGGTTTACTCTAGACATTTTCTACCTAAGAAGAATCCCGGTGCAAGTTCTCATAGAAAATGGTTTACATCTCTTGTCAAAACTGGCACCAGATTATAACAACATGGAATGTTTGGGAGAACAGAGGACACCACACACTCAGAGACGTAAAAGACATTTTTCCCCTTGCATTAGTTTCCAATTGCTACTGGTTAAATTGCCACAATATTTCTGGCTTCTAACAAATTTATTATCTTATGGTTCTGGAGATGAGAAGTCTAACTGAGCTAATATCAAGGAGACATAGGGCTCTATTCCTTCTAGAGGCTCTAGGAGAGAGAATCTGATTCTTTCCTTTTTAATCTTCAAGATGCCTAGGCCGGGCGCGGTGGCTCACGCCTGTAACCCCAGCACTTTAGGAGGCCGAGGCGGGCGGATCATGAGGTCAGGAGATCGAGACCATCCTGGCTAACGCAGTGAAACCCCATCTCTACTAAAAATATAAAAAATTAGCCAGGCGTTGTGGTGGGCACCTGTAGTCCCAGCTACTTGGGAGGCTGAGGCAGGAGAATGGCGTGAACCCGGGAGGCGGAGCTTGCAGTGAGCCCAGATTGCACCACTGCACTCCAGCCTGGGCGACAGAGTGAGACTCTGTCTCAAAAAAAAAAACAAAAAAAACAAAAAAAAGATGCCCGAACATTCCTGGCTCCATGACCCGTTCTTCCATCACTCCAGCATCCCTCTCCATTGTCCCAGCTCCTATCTAACTGCCACCCTCCTCCCTCCCAATTATAAGGACCTTTGTGATTATATTGATCTCATCTGGATGATCTAGGAGGTTCTCCCAAACTCAAAATCCTTAATCCTTAAGTAAGTTGCATCCACTAAGTTTTGGGATTTTTTTTTTTTTTTTTTTTTTTTTTTTGCTACGTAAGTTAGAATTCATAGGTTCTAGGTACTAGGACATGGACAGGATGTGGGCATTCTTCATTTCACCCACAATTAATATCTTCCCCACAATTGTCCTTCTCTAAGGTAGAATTAAAAATCAGAGGGCATATTTATGAAGCAAGAGAGCTAGAAAAAATCTTAGATTCAGGGCCCTCAAATCTTTGGGTTTTAAATGCTGGGGGACACTTATTCCACTGCCTCTAATGTGGACTTCACAATGTGTAGCTAGTTTTAGAGGCTCCTTTAATTTACTAACCCAGAAAAAATTCATTGCACAAAGACAATCTAAAATAGATTAGTAAAGGGAAATTAATTGCTTCCTGACCATTCCTGTATTAGGGTTCTCTAGAGGGAAAGGACTAATAGGATAGATGTATAAATGAAAGGGAGTTTATTAAGGAATGTTGACTCACACAGTCACAAGGTGAAGTCCCACAATAGGTTGTCTGCAAGCTGAGGAGAAAGGAAACCAGTTCGGGTCTCAAAACCTCAAAAGTAAGGAAGCCGACAGTGCAGCCTTTAGTTTGTGGCTGAAGGCTGACAATACCCTGGCAAACCACCAGCGTAAGTCCAAGAGTCCAAAAGCTGAAGAACTTGGAGTCTGATGTTTGAGGGCAGGAAGCATCCAGCACGGGAGAAAGATGAAGGTCAGAAGACTTAGCCAGCCTAGTCCTTCCACATTCCTCTGCCTGCTTTCTGCTTTTATCCTAGCTGCACTGGCAGCTGATTAGATGGTGCCCACCCAGATTGAGGGTGGGTCTGCCTTTCCCAGCCCACTGACTCAAATGTTAATCTCCTTTGGCAACACCTTCACAGACACACCCAGGAACAATACTTTGCCTCTTTCAATCCAATCAACTTGACACTCAATATTAACCGTCTCCAGTAAAGACTGATGAAGAGCCAATAAACACAGAAAAAGATGCTCCACATCACTAATTCTTAGGGCAATGAAAACAAAATCTACCTTATACCTATTAGGATGGTTTCCCTCAACAGAAAATGAAAACTGTTCATGAGAATTTGGAGAAATTGGAAATCTTGTGGACACTGTTTTGGGGATGTAAAATGGTCACCTAGTATAAGAAACTACATTGCAATTCCTCAATAAATTAAAAATAGAAATACTATATAATTCAGCAATTCCACCATTGGACATATATCCAAATAACTGACAACATTAACTTGAAGAAATATTTATATACCCACATTCAGAGAATTATTGTTCATAATAGCCAAAAGGTGGAATCAACTCAAATGTTCATGCAGGGAAGGGTGGATAAACAAAATGTGGCATATAAATATATATGCAATGGAATGTTATTCAACTTTCCAAAGGAAGGAAATTCTGACACAGGCTCCCACATAGATGAACAGTGAAGGCACTATGCTCAGCAAAATCAGCAAGCCACAGGACTAATGAAGTGTGATCCCACTGCAGTATTTGCAGCACAGTCTCCAGTTGGCTTTGGACCAACCCAGTCTCCTCCCCTTTCTCACTCTTAGTTTTCAAGAATCACTGTAGAATATCCTGGGAATGTAACATCCTGAGATAGGGCAGTATTGGCCACCACAGCACAGGCTCTGTTCCAATCCCCTTGTGCCGAGTTCTGGCTGCATGTTCTCACGGCCCAATAACTAGAAGCAGAGAAACTAGGAAAGAAGGGAATTTATTATTGTAACTGGATACAGGAAGAAGGTCAGAGATAATATCACCAGACCAACTGCAAGTGTTATAATTTTCCTTCCCTCCTTCCTTCCTTCCTTTCTTCCTTCTTTCCTTCCTTCCTTCCTTCTTTCTTTTCTTTCTTTCCTTCTCTCTCTCTCTCTCTCTCTTTCTTTCTTTCTTTGATGAAGTCTCACTCTGTTACCCAGGTTGGAGTGCAGTAGCATGATCTCAGCTCACTGCAACCTCTGCCTCCCAGGTTCAAGCGATTCTCCTACCTCAGTCTCCTGAGTAGCTGGGGCTACAGGCGCCCACCATCACACCTGGCTAATTTTTGTAGTTTTAGTAGAGGCGGGGTTTCAGCATGTTGGCCAGGCTGAAAGTGTTACAATTTTCTTAGTGCTTATATAGGTTGGCTTTATGTGCCTACGTGCAGTAAAACATTTGCCTAAGTCTATAGGCAACTAATTTTGTTTCAACTAGGTCAGAGGCCAAAGAAATGCTAATTCCGATTAAGCTGTGAGGGCCCCAGTACCTTCAAGCCCTGTCTCCTAAATTCTAATCAGTGAGGACTGTGGTACCGGAGTGATTATTTCTATCTTATCTCATTTACAGCTTGGTCCAGAGAGCTGCCTTAGACTCTCCAGTGAATCTATTCAAACAGCTGCCTCTGTTACCTTGACTCATCTCATTTTATTGACCCAAGACGGGTCCTGGCACTAGGAATGTAAGGCTGTCTCCATTATTTTGACTTGCTCGAGGTTAGGGAGAAGCCTGTGCAAGCCTCCCACTGACCTATGTTTTACTTCTAGCTTTGATGCCTGGGAACCGATTCCCCTAGGTTTAATTATTTGCTCAGTGTTAAGGCAGCGCTGTGGAAATTTGTTGGTGTAACTGGACTGCTACACAGGCCTGTCTGTGTGACTGTCATGCAGACCTGTCTGTCCAATTGACAGGGAGTATTGTCCTGCCATACCCTCTTGAAACAAGATTTCCTTCAACACTTTAGCTCAGCATGATATGTGACTCCAAGATATAAAACCCAGGGTGGGTCCAATCCAGAGTGCCTCAGCTGCAGTATATATGAAGCAGTCTAGACCCCATCAGCCCCAGGCAGCTTTCCTGAGCCTTGGGGGAACAGACCTACAATAAATTCTTGGATTTTGCTATCCCTTGCTGCCTGTCTGTAAATTGTAAATTGCTTCACATAACTAGTTGTGTAAGGGTGTTTAATCTCCCTGGACTCAAATAAGTTGGTAATCACTGCACAGTTAACCTGCTTAACAAAATTGCCCCATTGAGAAGATTCTAGTATGACAGAACCATGGCTTATTGGTGAAGTGGGAAGAATGATACCTCCCATTACTTGGCCAGGGGAGGACCATTAGACTGGAAGGTGCAAGGCCTGGACATGCATCTGGGTGCTTTATGGGGAATGAGGGAGGATCAGTGGGTTATAGATCACTCTCTGCATGAGTTTAGATGAGCTGGCTGCCTGAATTAAGGCAGAGAGAAAGGAGTGTAGAAATGAGAATGAGGCACAAAATCCTCTGGTTCATAGACACTTGCATAATTGCTCATTCCTGGAGCCAGAGAGCTAGGGAAACGGGTACTCAAATGGACCCTAAGATCCCTGAGAGGGAACCAACATATGCTATTTGGGCTTTCACACAAAGGGAGACTCACTCTCTAAATAAGAGATACAGAAAAAGTTCAGGGAAGTCTTATGCAGACTGTTTGGTATATTTGTTTGATAAAGCAATATTTGCAGTTCCAAATTTCTTGATCTAAATGTCACTGTTAGGGATACAGCCAATGCCTTTGGGTGCTCACCAGAAACCAGTGGCCCTAGACCATGTAAAAATAAAAGGAGAAAATAAGGAAATACTTTTCTGGGTTTTTGGGTGCCAGAGCCCATAGGTCTCCATTGGGGAAAATTTAACCAATGACATTGAGAGGTTCAGGGACAAATGCAGTGGCCATGGTGCTTCTCTGCTTGTGGATGGTGCCCTGTGGGCCATGTTGGGGCTGGTGACTGTAGTTCCCACCTCAGAGTGCAGTACAGGCATTGATATTTGCACCACAGAACATCACTGCTGCATAAAAGGTATATTCCCTCGCAGCTAAGAATTCAAGCCTTAACAAAAGGGAATATCCACTGAAGCCTACGACCTAAGCTACGCATGACTCCGTGGGTTATTTGACAAAAACAGTACTGTGTACTAAGTGAAGAATAAGACATTACCTGTTTTTTTCAAGACTTGCTACAAATAGATTAAAATGTTACATAGTCCCCTGTCACCATGGAGCAACTCAGTTTGGCGGGGCAAAAAGACTTTAGGGGAACAGAGACTAACGATGGACTATTTCACGTTGAATGCTAAGGCCACTTGGACAGGAAACCAAGGAAGGATAGCAGATATAGTTAAACATTGTTGGTACTAGCAGCAACCATTAATAAAGGACAACAGCTGGTAGGCTTCTTTGAGTATTGGTAACAGCATAAACCTCTCTGGGGTGGGCTTTCAGTCCCCTTAGTCAAAATCAAAATCACAAACAAAACCACCAACCTTGAACAGAGCCCTTTGCAACAGCAGCCTTGGAAGAAGTTCAACAGGACATGGTCCAAACACTTCTTTTAGACCTTTAGAGCCTGTTAGCCTGATGGAAGTTCAGGTGTCCACAGTCTCTATGTATGCTGACTGTAGTATGTGGCAACAGAAAATTGTCACTGAGTGAGCCAGCCTCTCAGATACTGAACACAAACCAGCTGAAGCAGCCACCAGATGTCCCTCTTTGGCATAGCAACTCCTTGCTTGCTATGGGAAACTGACAGGGACTGGACATCTTGGGGCTGAGCACCAAGTGTGGCGCTGCTGGGTGAACTGCTCCTTTTCACTTGGGTGCCTAAAATCCAACCAGTGAAACTGGACAGGCTCAATAGAGCTGCATTATCAAATGGAAATGGTGTATTCAGAATCAGGCCCAGCCAGCAACCCGTGGGATCCAAAGGCTCCATAAACAAATGGCGAGCTTGCTAGAAGGGACTAAATGACCCATGGGGGATGGTTTGGCTCTGCTTTTGGCTACCCGAAGTCCAAGATTCAGAGACATGCCGACATCGGTATGGCATGGTTCACTTAGGGCTCTGCAAAACATGTAGACTGGGGGTGGCTACCATCTAGCCAGTGGATGACTATTTTCTTTCCTGAGACTGATAATGGTCATTCCACCCAATGGTCCAAACTACATGCAGTGGTAATGGTCATGCAGGCCTTTCTGCCACCTCTTGCTATATTTTTACCAACTCATGGGCCACTGCCAACAGTCTAGCTATCTGATCAGGAAAATAGCAACCGAGTGACTGGACTATTAAAGCATCCCCTCTGTGGAGAAAAGGACTATGGCAACAGCTTGCCACCTATAAGAGACAAATATGTCACTCAGCTGGATGCTGGGTCTACCATGACCACCCTTGAGATGAACTTATGCCATGTTTTTGGATGCCCACTGAGACTTTGCTTTGACCAAGGAAAGTTCTTTACTGCCCAAATGACGTCAATGGACACACTCTCATGGGACATGATGGATTTTCCATACACCTTGTTATCCAAAGGCCAATGGATCTATTTAATGCTAGAACAGCTGACTCACACGGCAACTGAAGAGTGTACATCAGGGCAACCTGCTAGTAGAGTGGTACCCCATCTGACTACAGCAATTGGACATTAAACACTGCACTGCAGAGCAAGGGAAAGACGGCACGGAGGTGCAGGTTGAAAAACACTGAGTTGAGTGAGGAAGAAGTTGGGCAAGGCCAGTTTCCTGATAGAGCTGCCACTGTGAAATCCCAAACTCAGTGTTTCCAATCATTTTTTTCCTTTTATAGTGATGTTCTTGGGGGTGTTGCAGTTTAGGCCACCATGATAACCCAGACAGGCCTCCTAACTCTAATTGGATGGAATGATTCCCCTGGGTGCCTTCTATGGGTTCCACAGGATCAAGAAATATCAGGGTGTTAATTTCCTTCTGCTGGTAGGAGGGTCATCTGATTCCTCCATTAGGGTGGATGACGTTATCAGACATGTCAATTTTCTACAGTACTTGACCTGCCTTCTAGAACTGGACAACCGAGGGTGAAAGGACTGGATCAAGCAACAATGGCAATGGGTGCCCAAAGAGGTAGTAGTCTCAGAACAGGGAGAGACAGACTGAGTCCCTCCACTAACTCAGCCCAACACCTGTGGATGAGTAGGGGATGCCTGAGATCCTGGGGTGGATGGGAGGTGGGGCACTGATCTGTCAATCTGCTTTTTCTTCAAGGATCAGGCAGCAGAGACCCAGAAGCTTCATGTCTTTGTAAGGCTCTTCCAAGCCAACACAGATAATTTGACAAAACACTGTATCTGCATCCCAGACCTCACCCTGTCACAGACTGAAGTGGTTGTTTCATCCTACTAAGGGTAAACTATACCAGCTATACAGAATAAAAAGACTGGATAGTTTAGAGGATCACCCAAGAAATAGTTCTTTGCCTGCATGGACAAAACCATCTTCTGTCTTTAGGGAAATGGTATCACTACCCTGAGGATTTGGAGCCCAGGTCTCACTTATCTGTGCAGTTGTGAAAGTCCTCACACCCACAGTGCTGAGGTTAATTGAATGTTACTCTTTTAATTTCTGCAAAGAATGAGACAGCTTCTGGACCCTCAGGAAAGATCACTAACAAGTAAATACAAGTATATCCGGAAGATAAAGTTGTAATAGACTCTTCCTTTCAACCTGATCCATCATGCATTTAGGGAGCTGACTGGGCACAAGTTGGAGCAGAAAGAGAAAAATGAAACCACAGCCTTCTATTTTGTTTCTAACAGACTTGTACCAAACATTCTGTGGCTCAATCTAGGTGATGGTGAGACAAGAGGACACAGGGGTTAAATTCTGTGGCCGCAGGGGAGAAGTTCTACCCTCAGACTGAGCCAACGGCCTTTTCTGGCCTGATCACCTGGGCATGGGCTGCTGAGAGCAGAAAGGGGAGGCAGATTGTCTCTGCAGCTGCAAGCCCAGCACCCGCCCCAGCTGCTTTGCATGTCCCTCCCAGCCGCCCTGCAGTCCAGAGCCCATATCAATGCCTGGGTCAGAGCTCTGGAGAAGAGCTGCTCAGTTAGGACCCAGAGGGAACCATGGAAACCCCAGCGCAGCTTCTCTTCCTCCTGCTACTCTGGCTCCCAGGTGAGGGGAACATGGGATGGTTTTGCATGTCAGTGAAAACCCTCTCAAGTCCTGTTACCTGGCAACTCTGCTCAGTCAATACAATAATTAAAGCTCAATATAAAGCAATAATTCTGGCTCTTCTGGGAAGACAATGGGTTTGATTTAGATTACATGGGTGACTTTTCTGTTTTATTTCCAATCTCAGATACCACCGGAGAAATTGTGTTGACGCAGTCTCCAGGCACCCTGTCTTTGTCTCCAGGGGAAAGAGCCACCCTCTCCTGCAGGGCCAGTCAGAGTGTTAGCAGCAGCTACTTAGCCTGGTACCAGCAGAAACCTGGCCAGGCTCCCAGGCTCCTCATCTATGGTGCATCCAGCAGGGCCACTGGCATCCCAGACAGGTTCAGTGGCAGTGGGTCTGGGACAGACTTCACTCTCACCATCAGCAGACTGGAGCCTGAAGATTTTGCAGTGTATTACTGTCAGCAGTATGGTAGCTCACCTCCCACAGTGATTCAGCTTGAAACAAAAACCTCTGCAAGACCTTCATTGTTTACTAGATTATACCAGCTGCTTCCTTTACAGATAGCTGCTGCAATGACAACTCAATTTTAGCATCTCTTCTCTGCTTGGGCATTTTGGGGATCTTAAAAAAGTAATCCCTTGATATATTTTTGACTCTGATTCCTGCATTTTTCCTCAGACCAAGATGGACAGCCAGGTTTAAGCACAGTTTCACAGTAATGGCCACTGGATCAGATTTACATCAGTGGATGTCAGTAAAGGTCCCAACCAGAGCCATAAGGCAACAACAATAGCAACAAATAATCAAAATTGGAAAAGAAGAATTAAAGCTGTCATAATTCACTGATGAAGGATTGTGTGCAGATAAAATTCAAATTTGTCTACAGAGAAACTACTAAAATTGACATGAGAAATAGAAAATCATTAGATTCAAGATCAATTTATTAATTCATAGATTCAAAAATCAATTTCATTTCTGCATAATAAAAAATGCTAAAAATTAACATTATAAAACAAACACACCATTTACAAAAACATCAAAGTATCAATTATTTAAAAAAAATAGACTAAATACACTGACGTCTCCAGAATATTATTTTGAAAAATAAAAGAAAACCTAAGTAAATAGAAATTCAGTTCAAAGACTGAATGTCTCAGTACTATAAAAATGTCAATTCTTCAAAGATTAAAATATTGATTACATATAAGAAAAATCAAAATCCTAAAGTATACTCCAATTTAAATTAAGAAGCTAATCTAAATATTATATGGGAATGTCAAGGATGTAGAATAGCCACAGTGAACCTGAAGAAACACCAAAATGAGAACTTCCAGTGCCTGAATACCTGGAATATAGTGTGGGTGGCAGTATGGTGATGGTGAGATCAGAAGTTTAAAAATTTGCAAACGTGCTTATTTTTGGAAATAATCACTACGCAGATGTAGCCAAACCCTCTTCAACTGTGCCACCAGAATCTCAGATTTCCAGAATTAGTTTCTCACAGTGTGATTCTTAACATGACATCAATAATTCTCAGTCTCCCCAGTAAACGCAGCTCAGTGCATGGTGCAGCTATCCATTTGACTTCTACAAATATTTTAAAAGGTAGAAAATTATATTTATCCAACTAATTGACTCAGTAACAGCTGTTCATTTGCAGAGAGGTACTCTGTTTTAATAAATAACAAAACTAAGAAAGTTAGTGAATGACCAAGTAGGAAGAGTGATAGGAACAGCTGTCTTAGCTTTGTCAAAGGCTTCCTTCCAAAAGGAATTTCACTGGTCACTTTCATTTATCACCACCAATAATTTATTATAACTTATTGTAATGTGGTTTATTGAATATTATATGAAAGTGAAAAACAGAGTAGTTGTACCAGTACTGGAAGCACTGTTTCTACTGAATACAAATAATTTTCACACTATTGTAAAGTCAAAACATCTTAAGTGCAACCACCATGAATTAGGGACTTACTGTAAGTTCAGGGAAGTAACTATAAAGAAACTCACAAATTTTAAGAAAAATAGAATATATTCCTGATAGAGGTACAGGAATATATTATCTAAAATATACAGTTTTCCATTAAAAAATCCTGCAAAGAAACAGAAAAGTATGATCAATATTGAGGGAACAAAACAAAACAACTGCAGCAAGAAAGCACAGTCAATGAAAGCTGATTCTGACTTGTCCTGAATATCAGCTTTAGCAAAGACTACAAAGCAATTATTATATAGATGTTTAAATAATTATTCTTAAAACTACGATCATATAGTTTTAAAGATATAAAGAGGAAAATATAAAGACAATGACTCAGCAAATGGAAACTCTTAAAAAATAGAAACTATGGAAAAGAATCAAGTGAGAATTCTAGAAACAAAAAGTACAATAACTCAACTGAAAAATATATTACATAAGTCCAACATCAGTTTAAGATGGCAAAAGATTCAGTGAACTTAAAAATAGATGTACAGAAATTATTGAATCTAAATAAAGAAAGGAGTTTAAGAAAAAATGCGCAAGACTTGACAGAATTACAGCTCAGGTTGAAAGATACCAACAAGTGTGTAAAACGAGTCACAAAAAAAGCAGAGAGAGAGAGAAAGTGATCAAAAAATACTTGGAAAAGTAATGACAACAGCTTTTCAAAAATAATGAACCACAAAGGTAATTTAATCTATAGATGAAAGAAACTCAATGAAACGCTTTCAGGATATAATACAAGATTAATAACAAAATACATTATACTTTAAAATGTTGAAAGACAAAGAGAAATTCGTGAATGTGTCAGGACTAAAAGCTGACTCTACATATGGAGACACAATAATAATGCCATTGGCTAAGTTTTCATTAGGACCGAGGGAGGCTGGAAGAGATTGGAATGAGATCTTTAAATACTAAAAGGAAATGAAAGAGGACAACCAGCAATTTTGTTTCTGGTGAAAATATTCTTCAGAACTAAAAATATTCCTTGATAAACAGAATAAATTCATTAATAGCAGCTCTGCCTTATAAGAAATTCAAGATGAAATCTTTCAGAATCACAGAAGATTACAGCAGGCAGGATTTTGAGCCCACAGCCTATAATGAAGGACTCAAAAGTAGTAAACAATAAGAATAAAGCTAGAAAAAAGCACACAATTCAATTTATATGACATTAAAGACATAAAAACCCAAATTACTGTGTTCGATGTCAGAATGACAATTACCTTGGTTGAGATGGGGAAGCAGTTACTGAAGAGGAAGGTGCATGGAGGAAGCATCAGCAGAAGGTAAATATTCTGTAGTTCCATCTGGCCAATGAATACACAAAAACTATTCAGTTACAATTTGAAGATGTGTGCCCTTTGTGCCCTCTGGGTGTTTTATCACTTAAAATAATACGTAAAAATACCATATAGAATAGAAAATATTTATGAAAACTCAGCCTATTAAAGACCAATGTAAAATATGCCTGGGAAAGGGAAAAATAATTAGAAACCTCTTAGAGAAAACAGAAGGATATTAAAAAATATGTCCCTTCGGCCGGGCGCGGTGGCTCACGCCTGTAATCCCAGCACTTTGGGAAGCCGAGGCGGGGGGGATCATGAGGCTTAAGATCCAGGTCTGGAAGCTCGTCAAATGCTAAATTATGTAAAACACAATAAGCCAAGGATGCAGGTTGTAGTTCTCTGGGGTACTCAATTATAATAAAATAATACAGAACTAAAAAACAAATTAGGATAAAATAAATCAACACTGTAAACAAAATATGTTGTGCCAAATATGATTGAATTTTTAGATAAAAGATTGTAAATAAATAAATGAAATTGCATACACAAAAATAAAATCAAAAGACAACTAAAAACAAGGAGAAACTATTCTTAATATATTAAACAAATAAACTGTTACTGTTCTAATATGAAACAACTCTATTAAAAGTTAAGATAATGGGTCAAAAATCCAATAGAAAAAAGAAGAAAAGAGAACAGACAATGCATTATAAAAGATATATACATATAGCATTTAAACACAAGTAAAGTGTGTAATCTCAGTAATGAGGGAAATGCAAATTGAAACTACTTTGAGGTAGTATTATCTGGTTTAAGAAAATCCAAAAAATATTAACCGTATTTTTAGGCAAGGTTATAGGGAAACAGGATTTCTCATTAACAGCTGTGAGGATGGAAACTAATACTACCTTTTTAAGAAGGAGAATATGACAACATCTACAAAACTATCTTAATGTGTAACTTTGACCCATAATCCCATTCCTAGGAATCTCTGAAGATACATCTTCAACACTACAAAATTACATATACACAAGGTTATTCATTGGAACATTAATTGTAATGATTTGTAAAATGTTGACACCACCCAGAATATTCATAAATAAATATTTTGTTGAAATAGCTATGGAACATTCATGCAATGGAGTATGTATCAACTGTCAAAAGGAAGAAGTTATCTATGAATTGACAGGAAGTTATTTCTCAGATATACAGTTGAATGAAAAAAAGCAAAGTGCAAACAAATATCTATACCGTGTTACCTTCCAAGTAAGAAAGCAGAGGAGATTTAAAAACAAACAGAACCGTAAACGAAAACAACAAATTTGAGAGGATAGACAGAGTGAGGCTGGCAGGGAGTGATAAGAGGAAGGGGCTGGTAACGGGGTGAAGGGATGAGATGAGAGTGGTACAGAAGGGGTGGAAGGCGACACGTCTCTGAGCTTACCTTTTTGTTTTTGTGAATTTATGTCTTTGGAGACTCTATTTATACTACAAATATTTGAAAATAATTGAAATCAAGAAAGATGAGAGGATCCAAATGGGTTACAAACAAGAGTAAATGAAACTAAATGTATTACAAATGAATTAAAAAATAACAAGGTGGTGGATATGGGAAGAAAAGACTAATATAAGTATTGTTGGGACCCAGTATTTTGACTATTTCCACTAAAGCTAAAGACAGAAATATGTGTGATTCAGTATTTTACTGGACTTAGTAGCTTCAATTTTTACAGGGGTATAGTTAAGCATGTGCACACATATTTTTCTTTATTTATTCCAGGCAATGGCTACATGAATTTTTAAAAGTTTTATTTTGATTTTAATTGACAAATAGTAATGTATATACATATGGGGTACAATGAGATGCATACATGTATACATTGTCGAATAATCAAATCAGGTTAATTAACATAGTCCTCACCTCCAATATTTATCATTTTTTGTACTGAGAACATTGAATATACTTTGTTATTTTGAAATACAGAATATAGTATTATTAACTACAAAACCACTGTCATAAGGTTAACAAGAACAGTATTCCAGGTTCCAGACTGAAATATAGTTAAGCATTAATCAGACAACATTCTGAGCCACTTCCCTTAGCTTCTCACTAATAAAAGTCAAGTTGCAATAAATACAGACCATTAACGTCCCCATTGTTCCCAAATATAACACCTTCACCATTATGAGCATAAAACCTAATCTTTGAGATATTTACCAGATCCTGAATTCCAGTAGAATAGCTGACACCAACTTGTCTAAAGACCACCCCCCTCCCAAAGAACCGAGTCAACATAAGAAAGCAGTTTCTTCACCTCCCAGTCCCATGACTTCATCCTTCACTCTTCAACCAATCTGCCTCTCCATCCAAAACCACTTAAAGTCTTTAACCCCAAAGTGCTTGGGGAGGTAGATATGAGGCTTCCTCCTGTCTTCTCATTTAATTGCCTTGGGATTAAATCTCTTTCTCTGCAGCAGCCCCCAGTGTCTTAGTGTATGTTGACTTACCATGTAATAGGCAATCAAGCCTGCCAGAAATACATCTATATAATAATGTCGCCATGCTATGCAACAGATCACCAAAACTTAGTCCCCCTATCAGACTGATATTTTGTACCCTTTAACAATGCAGTCTCTGGTAACCAGCATTCTACTTGCTATTTCTGTGACTTTCATTTTTTTAGATTTTTCTTCCTAAGCTTAGAACAAGGGATTGCTGTGGCCATGGCAGAAGAAGTTTGCCTCTGTATACAGAGTTTCCCTCCACTGCAAAACTGCAGCCTCTGCCAGTTGCATCCACTGTCCTTATGAATAAACATACCTGGAAGTGTTCATAGTATTTGCAACGAATTATACAAGATTTTGAAGCCCCCCCTCTCTTTCTCTTCCTTTTTTGTTCTTTTGTGCCATCTTTAAATTTTTCATTTAGCACAATGCATGACTGTTGGGGCTCAATACATATTTGTTGCAAAAAGGGTAAAAAAAGGTGTTTCTTCTTTTCAATAGGAAAAATTGTAGTTTAAATCTCACAAGACCGTCTTGTAGTCAGACTCAAACTCACATCCACAGTCACCTCCTGTGGATGGCGAAAACGTGAACTTTATGTGTATGTCTCCTCATACATTGAATGGTGGTCCAGATTTCCAGCTTCTCGGGATCTGTGCACACAGGCTATTGTGTCCGGAGTTGGTTCCTGCTGGTGAGTCTGGCTGACTTCAAGAATGAAGCCACGGACCTTTGTGGAGAGTGTTACAGCTCTTAAAGATGGCACGGAGCGGCAGCAAGGATTACTGTGAAGAGCTAAAGGACAAAACTTCCATAGCATGGAAAGGGACCCTTGCGGGTTGCCACTGCTGGCTGGGGTGGCCAGCTTTTATTCCCTTATTGTCCCCACCCATGTTCCGCTTCTGTCCTATCAGAGTGCCCTTTTTTCAATCCTCCCCACGATTGGCTACTTTTAGAATCCTGCTGATTGGTGCATTTTACAGAGCACTGACTGGTGCGTTTTACAGAGTGCTGATTGGTGCATTTTACAATCCTCTTGTAAGAAGTCCCCACTCCACCCAGGAAGTCTAGCTGGCCTCACCTCTCACTATCAATGACTGAAATGATCATTAGTAGCAGTGGCTTTGGTTAAATGTATACCAGTAGTTACATACAGGGTAGAAAAATGGTCTGAAGAGGTATATTCAGCATCAAATGAAAAAATTACACCTTGTGACCCCTTTCTCTCCCTGTATGATCCCTTAAGATTGTGCTGAAACCTCAGAGCATCAGGTCAGCCTCATATTGCTCCTTCCTAAATCTTGGTCCCTGCTCAACCTGAGCCTATGTTTGGCCATCCACGGGCATCCATGTATACAACTTTGAAGGCAAAACTCCCTGCTTGGAGTGGCTCATTAGATGACCAGGGTCCAGATAGCATTGCCAAGGAGGCTCACAGATGGCTTCATACTGAGTCTCTCCCCTCAGCCTCCCAGCATCACCAGCCCTGAAGGAATGTCCCTGTTATCCGTGGCACCCAGAGCACAGTCAGCCCTGCCCTGACTTCACTGCCCAATTCACAGCCTCATCGCAGATTCCACTGCAAAATAGACAGTGTGAGATCTCAAAGACAGGCTGATTTGTAGTCCTGAAAAGCAACAACCCATCGTTCCCTCGATCTCTTTGGTGGAATTTCAAAGTTCGTCATAAGCTGAATTTCTGTACAAACATACTCTCTTAACAATGGAAACTATTTGCAATATGGGAAACATAAAACATGGGAAAAGTTTAAATCTCTCAAGAGCATCTTCTAGTCAGATTCATATTCAGCTTCCCTGATTCTGAACTTTCTGTCTTGCGGTCAGCTTCTTTTGGTCCATTTGTTTCACCCTTTCCAGCTCAGATCTTCTCTCCCTGGCTACCCTTAGTCTCAGGTTGTCCTTACGTTTGATAGGCTTCTACCTTATGGATGCTGTAAGGTTATCCTCTCATTTGCTGGATTCTTGTGGGAAAAAAAATCCCTCCAAGTTCACATCCTGAGACTTCAGACTCCACTCTTCCTTGGAGAGCCATCCTCCATTTCCTGCAGGTCTGGTCAGAGCCCCTTTCATAGAAATGGAAACACTTACTTGAATTGGTTTCTGCAGAAGCCAGACCAACCTCTAAGGTGCCTGATTTATGAAGTTTCTAACAGGAAGTCTGGGGTCTCGGGCAGGTTCAGCAGCAGTGGTTCAGGGACAGATTTCATATTGAAAATCAGCAGGGTAGAGGCTGAGGACGTTGGGGTTTATTACTGCCTGCAAGGTACACAAGTGCCTCCCACAGTGGTACAACCCTGAATACAAACCTCCCTGCTTGGAGTGGCCCAGCTGCTCAAATATGTTGTTTATCTGGGGAGTGGCACAACAGAATCTCTGCTGTATAAGATGAAGATGTTGGGCCGAGGCGGGCAGATCATGAGGTCAAAAGTTTGAGACCAGCCCGACCAACATGGTGAAACCCCATCTCTACTAAAAATACAAAAATTAGCTGGATGTGGTGGTGCACGCCTGTAATCCTAGTTACTCAGGAGGCTGAGGCAGGAGAATAGCTTGAACCCGGGAGATGGAGCCTGCAGTGAGCCAAGATCACACCACTGCACTCCAGCCTGGATGACAGAAGGAGACTCCATCTCAAAAAAAAAAAAAAAAAAAAAAAAAATGAAGATGTTGGTGAGCTCAGGGTAAAAGGTTGCAGCTGAATGACCTGTCCCATGGGGGACTCAGCAGTACATCAGGTAAAACCCATTCATGGTCCTGTCAGCTCCCACAGCCTTGGCATGGCATAAGCCAAAGGAAAACAGAGATAATTCAAGTGCCTTCAGAGTAAGCAGACAGGACTGAGGGAGAGCGGAGGGAAATCTCACACTAATCTTCCCTGCCTTGCCTACATTCGACAATGAGACTTCAAATAGCTTAATAGCCAGACAAGTAACACAGATTCGTGTCAACACGTGTTGAATATCTCTTGAAGTTTAGGTCTTTTGTGTATATTTTTAAGAGGGTAGTATTTGGTAGTATTTAGAAACTGGTATTTTTCAACTTTTCCAATTTCCTTCTTCTCCTTTTTACTAGTTCTCTTCCCATTGCACCACATAACAAATAGTGAAAAGAGCATTCTACACAAGCTGTCCTCAGGGAGAGCTGGCTGAGGACAATCATGAAAAAGCTTGAATTTGCACCTCCAAATAGACTTTTGTGACGTCATGGAAGACAGAAGATCCTGATGTTAAAACTCTTTCATTCATTTCAATTACTTCTTGCTAATAAAAAAGGATAATATTTGAAATTCCAAAAGTTGGATTTTAAAAACAAAAACTTAAACTGGAACAAGCAGATTATAGAATTTATGTTATATGCCACTAGAATAACACAGAATAATGTGAGGTTTTTTTTTTCTTTACCAAAGGGTGAGAATTTTAAAACTGTGGGCAGACTCCAGGAATGAGAACAAAGAAGAGAATATAGTAGAGGCCAACTACGGTCCATAATCTGAACTTTGTCTTGTATTTGTTGCAGTTGTGGGTGGTATTCTGTGATGTATATGTACCACATTTTCTTTATTCTGTCTACCACTGATGGGCATTTAGTTAATTCCATGTCTTTGCTGCAGTGAACATATGTGTGCATGTGTCTTTATGGTAGAACAATTTATATTCCTTTGGGTATACGCTCTGTAATAGGATTGCTGAATCAAAAGGTAGTTCTGTTTAAAGTTCTTTGAGGAATCTCCAAACTGCTTTGCACCGTGGCTGAACTAATTTACACTCCCGCCAGCAGTGTATAAGCATTCTCTTTTCTCTGCAACCTCATCAACATTTGTTATTTTTTGAGTTTTTAATAATAGCCATTCTGACTGGTGTGAGATGATACTTAATTGTGGTTTTAATTTGCGTTTTTCTAATGATTAGTGGTGTTGAGAATTTTTCATATGCTTGTTGACTATGTGCATGTTTTGTTTTAAGAAGAGTCTGTTCATGTCATTTGGCCACTTTTTAATGGGGTTGTTTTTGTTTGTTGCTTGTTAATTTACGTTCATTACAGATTCTGGTTATTGGGTCTTTGTCGGATGCATAGTTTACAAATATTTTCCCTCAATCTGTAGGCTGTCTGTTGACGCTGTTTATAGTTTCTTTAACTTGTGCAGAAGCTCTTTACTTTAATTAGGTCCCATTTATCAATTTTTGTTTTTGTTGCAGTTGCTTTTGGAGTTTTTGTCATGAAATTTTTACTACGGCCTTTGTCTAGAATGGTATTTCTTAGATTTTCTTCTAGAGTTTTTGAAGTTTTAGGTTTTACATTTAAGTCTTTAATCCATGTTGAGTAGATTTTTGTATATGGTGAAAGGAAGGGGTCCAGTTTCAATCTTCTATATATGGCTGGCCAGTTATGCTAGCACCATTTATCAAATAGGGAGCCTTTTCTCTATTGCTACCTTTTGTCAACATTGTCAAGATCAGATGGTTATAATGTACAGCTTTAAGTCTGGGTTCTCTAACCTGTTACATTGATTTATGTGCCTATTTTTGTACCAGAACCATGCAATTTTGGTTACCGTAGCCTTGTAGTATATAGTTTGAAGTCGGGTAGTGCAATGCCTCTGGTTTTGTTCATATTTGCTTAGGACGGCTTTGTCTATTCGGGCTCTTTTGTGGTTCCATATGAATTTTAGAATAGTTTTTCTACTTCTGTGAAAAATTTTGTTGATAGTTTGATATAAATAGCATTGAATCTGTAAATTGCTTTGGGCTATGTGATCATTTTAAGAATATTGATTCTTTCCATCCATGAGCATGAAATATTTTTCCATTTGTTTTTGTCATCTCTGATTTCTTTCAGCAGTTTATTATAATTCTAGTTGTAGATATCTTTCAGCACCCTGGTTAACTGTATTCCTAAGTACTTTATTTTCTGTGGCTATTGTGAATGGGATTGCATTCTTGATTTGGCTCTCAGCATAGACATTGTTGGTATATAGAAATGCTACTGGTTTTTTACATTGATTTTGTATCTTGAAACTTTGCTGAAGTGGTTTATTAGATCCAGGAACATTTGGGCAGTGAAGACAGGGTTTTCTAGGTATAAATTATATCAGATGCAAAGAGAGATAGACTGACTTCCTCTCCTCCTCTGGCTAGGACTTCTAGCCCTATGTTGAATAGGAGTGGTGAGAGTAATAAGCATCCTTGTCTTGTTCTGGTTCTTAGAGGAAGTTCTTCCAGCTTTTCACCATTCAGTATGATGTTGGCTGTGGGTTTGTCATATATAGGTCTTATAATTGTGAGGTATCTTCCTTCAATGTCTAGTTTGTTCAGGGCTTTTAAAATCAAGGGATGATGAATTTTATTGAACGCCTTTTCTGCATCAGTTGAGATGACCATATGGTCTTTGTTTTTAGTTCCTTTCCTCTCAGATCCTGTCCTGAAAATCTAACGAGTCCTACTAATATAATAAGAAACAAACAACCACACATGCTCCCCCACATTGTGCTGTGAGAGCTGACCCCTAGGATCTCAGACATGCAGATCATATGAGACCTAATAAAGGGATTCTCACAAGAGATTTTCCACCTAAGAATTCTGGTGCTAGCTGTCCTCGCAGTAAAATGTTCTCTGCCTCTGATCAAAATTGACACCAAATGATAACACAATGGAAATGTTTAGAAGAAGAAGGACAATCACACTTTTAGAAAGATAAAAGACATGCCTTATGCCTGTAACAGTTTCCTATTGCTAGGGCAACTAATTACCACAATTATACCGCATTCAGTATGATTTATTATCTACAATAAATCCTATCAAATTTATTATCTACAATTCTGGATTGAGAAGTCTTACTGAGCTAAAATTAAGGAGTCACTAGGGCTGTATTTCTTCCGGAGGCTCCAGGGGAGAACATCGGATTTCTTGATTTTAATCTTCAAGATACCGTCATATTCCTGGCTCCATAACTCCTTCCTCCATCATTCCAGCACATCCACGCAGGAAAAAAAAAAGATGC
This sequence comes from Homo sapiens, assembly GCF_000001405.40. NCBI lineage: Eukaryota > Metazoa > Chordata > Mammalia > Primates > Hominidae > Homo > Homo sapiens. Next base: position 240,086 of record NW_012132915.1, on the reverse strand, counting down.
GAACTTACATTTAAATCTGCGTCTCTCTAGAATTTGATCCTGGCAAGCTGGATGTAAGCAAGTTTCTCTAAAAAATCAGGCTCATGAAAGGCCACAGGAGGACGGTGCACAGGCTAGACTGCTGTGACTTGGCCTCCCCTAGTCTTGCGTGCGAATGTTCCCTGGAGTCCTCAGGCTCCAGTCTACTGATGCTGATGCAATTTATTCCACTCCTTCTGTTGCTGAACCAGGCTGAGACAATCAGGGCCAAGTTAGATATGTAAAAAATCGGATTTCAAATCTTTGTCCAATTTTATTAGAATCTAAAATACTTTTCCATATACGTAAGCAGTGGCTTGCCAGGAGATGAAGACTCTCCCTCCTACCAATCCCAACAGAGAAGCTGGAATCTGGGTCAGGATGATGTCCCCATTCATTGCTTAAGCGTAAAAGAGGAAAGTGGCATTGATGGTGCACAGCAGGAACATACACCCAACAGCTCAATGACCTGGCCTTTCCCTGGTGCCTCCCCCTCACCTGCTCTCCAGAAAGCCGGGGTCTAGGAGAGCAGTTCCTGAGTTCACAAGAACATGCTAGTAGGGAGTAGAGCTCAGAGCATTACTGAGGGAATATGATATTGGTCTCTACTGTCTCTACTAAAAATGCAAAAGATTAGCCGGGCATGGTGGCGGGCGCCTGTGGTCCCCAGCTCCTTGGGAGGCTGAGGCAGGAGAATGGCCTGAACCCGGGAGGCAGAGCTTGCAGTGAGCCAGGATCACGGGCCACTGTACTCCAGCCTGGGCAACAGAGCAAGACTCCATCTCAAAAAAAAAAAGAAAAACAAAAATCTATATTCCATAGTTCCACCTTGACAGTTAATATACACAAACTTCATTCAGTTACACTCTTAATATTTGTGCCCTTTACTCTGGGGATTTTGTCAACTAAAATGAAACTAATTTAAAAACCTAGATGCTAAAATAAATATGAAAATAATAAATAAGAATAACTGGCCAGGTGTGGTGGCACATGCCTGTAATCCCAGCACTTTGGGAGGTGGAGGCAGGAGGATCACTTGAAGTCAAGAGTTCGAGACCGGCCTGGCCAACATATGAAACCCCATCTCTACTAAAAATACAAAAATTAACCAGGCATGGTGGTGCACGCCAGTAATCCCAGCTAGCTCGGGAGGCTGAGGCAGGAAAATCGCTTTAACCTTGGAGGCGGAGGTTGCAGTGAGCCGAGATCCTGACACTGTACTCCAGTCTGGGTGACAGAGTAAGTGAAACTCTGTCTCAAAATATATATATATATATTTATACACAAAATAATATATATATTTATATATATTTATATATATCAAAAATATATATATTTATACATATATACATATGTGTATATATATGTATGTGTGTGTATATATATAATAAAATTAAATAAGAATAACCAAATATTTATGGAAACTCAGCCTATTAAAGACAAGTGTAAAATGTGTCTGGGAAAGTGAAAACAATGTAGAAATCTCTTAGAGGAAATAGAAGAACATGATTAAATATGTCCCTTTTTCCACTCAGGCAGCACAAACTTTATTAGGTTCCCTCTAAACACAGAGGACACATTATGTCACTGTGCTCACACTAGATGTCCCCATACTCTCCTTGGCTCTTTCCACCCCACTGCACCCACCAGGGGATTTGCATACTGTCCCCTAGGGAGGACCTTCCATTGTGAGTCTGAGATAAAAGCTCAGCTGTAACCTTGCCTTGACTGATCAGAACTCCTCAGCTCACCTTCTCACAATAAGGGTCCCTGCTCAGCTCCTGGGGCTGCTAATGCTTTGGGTTCCTGGTAAGGACAGAAGGGAGATAAGGGAGGAGAATGGAGTGTGAGGGTGAGCTCTGGGGGTCCCACTGCCTGTCCACATGCACATCTTGACCTGCAAGAAAAGGTGTATAAAGTTTAGAACTGCAAGAGTCAGAAAGAGAAGATTCCTCACTCTTATAGTTCTAAACTTCATATCCTAGAAGGACAAAGGACTTGTGCTCTCATGAAGAGTGTCACACAGGAAGAGGATAATAGTGTAGGCGACTTCTTGAGTCTCTTTTGTGCCTTGTGAATGTTGGTTCTTTTTATGCCTGGATGTTTAGGGGTATGAACCAAAGTCACACAAAAAAATCACTTAGCATAAAGTAGATAACAGAAAGAATATCATTTCAATGGTTCCCAATATTTGTACATAACTTTGCACTTCTCTCACTATTTCAGGATCCAGTGGAGATATTGTGATGACCCAGACTCCACCCTCCCTGCCCGTCAACCCTGGAGAGCCGGCCTCCATCTCTTGCAGGTCTAGTCAGAGCCTCCTGCATAGTAATGGATATACCTATTTGCATTGGTACCTGCAGAAGCCAGGGCAGTCTCCACAGCTCCTGATTTATAGGGTTTCCAATCATCTTTCTGGGGTCCCAGACAGGTTTAGTGGCAGTGGGTCAGGTAGTGATTTCACACTGAAAATCAGCTGGGTGGAGGCTGAGGATGTTGGGGTTTATTACTGCATGCAAGCTACACAGTTTCCTAACACAGTGGTACAACCCTGAACAGAAACCTCCCTTCTTGCTGTGGTTCAGCTGCCCAAATGTGTTGTTTATCTGGAAAGCAGACACTGTCTATTATCTTGGGAGAGTAAAGAGGAAGATGATGGAGAATTCAGGAGAATACATTACAGCTGAGGGCTCTTGACCATCAATATCTCCGTTACATCTCAGGTACCACAATTTAGTCCCCATCAGTTGCAAGAGTCTTGGCCTGGCAGAACTTGCAGGAGAATGGAGGGAGGTCAAGTGCCCTCTGAACAACCAGTCATGTTGCAAGGGAAAGCTGAATCAAAGCTCATCGTAATCCTCTCTGCCTTGCCTACGTTCATTCACTAACTAAATTCATTCAGCCTGACAGCCACCTAAATGAAACAGATTAGTGGCAATACAAAACTAATACGTTCTTGGTTTTGATTTGGTTTAGCAGTTACTAGTGTACATGTACCTTGACAAGATTTGGTGATACTAAAACAGTTTCTCTCCCATCTTCTACCTTCCACTTTACACTTTTCTTAACATATATCTCTCTCTGGGACAGCAGGAAGCACAGCATTTTATCCTATTTTTTTTTCAGGGAGTGCTTGCGTGTATTTACATTCTAGACTTTGTAACTGCTAGATATATTTTGGTAAGTTTATGCAAAAACAAAGACCTAGTGACAAAAATCTTTGAACAATCTTATTCACAGTATGTTGAAATGAAAAGAAAATTCTATGAAATCCAAAGCTGTGTTTTAAAAATAAATATCCAAGTTTCAAAAGACAAAAGAAAAAACGACTAAAAATGTATGCCATAGTCAAAAATGTATGCCATATTCAATGGAATCTGGATTAATATAAAATAATATATAAGCTTATATTTTGCCCCTTGAAAAATAATAATCTATAGACTTTGGGCAGAGGGCAGTAAATGAGAATGTGAGGGCAGCTGTTAACTGTGTTAGTGGTGGTGTGTTGGAGTTGATATATGAACCCAAGTGGAAGCTCTGCTGTATTTCTTGGGGAGTTGTGGGGATCCTGCGTGGAGTTCAAGACTGTGCTCTGATGCAATGGCAAACTCCCAGGGAAGTATTGCATCACACAGTCTTTAGTGACTCAAAGAGAGTCCCTGTCCAAATGTACCTCAGGTCATATCACACATTCCTAGTCAATCCAGCAGGATGTAGAAGACCTTGGAAAAGTAGATTCTGCCCCCATCATTTACCTGGGAATGATTAGAGAAAGAAAGGATCATTCAAGAAAGCTTATAGTTAAAATAAAGATGATGCTGACCAGAGCAGTGCAGGGGCTGGGAAGATGAGTAGGAGGTGTAGTGGTGGGAGCCCAAAGCCCATATTTCAGACACACATAAAGGAAAATCAAGGCAGCATGGTAGGGGAGAACTCAGGAGAATGCAGGAGGTTTCACTGTGTGTCTCTAGCCAACCCACCCAGCTACCATTCTCAACCCAGGCCTCAACAAATGTCCCAAAGAGAAATTCAGCCTGGTGTTAAGGGCTCCACTCATGCCATATAATCCATAATCTGTAAGGCACGTACATGCCTCTGCCAAAGGTGAGATGAATTCCCCACTCTTGTAGAGATCTTCTGCCTGGACCAAACCAGAATCTCCAATCACGCTCGTATTTGGCAAATTTCACTAAGACACAAAGTGACAGGAGGACACAAGGCAATATACAAAGGCATCTTTCCTCTGTGGAATTTTAGGCTATCTGTTCTTTATTTGTTCCACAACTCTCTGATGTTATAACAAACATGATTTTTTAAGTTCATTTTTGCTCTCCTGAATTTATTGCAATTCTTGTGTCCATCTTCTAAGGCCTATTCCTTACTACTTCACTACTGAAAATAAATTGTTCTATTAAATTACAAAGTAGGGATGTCAGTTTGAATATTATATTGCAAAACATTCACATCTAGATCAATAAATGCACATGGCACATGGAAATGAAGGAGAAAAACAACTGCAGAAATGATAATGATCATGTCAGTGTTTAAAATATTTGATACTGAATACCAAACATGGAACACTGAATTCAATATTCCAGTAATGTATGCTGAAATTACATACACATATGCTTTAAATATACTACATTTACAATAATACTTTAATATTATTTTGATCCATAAAAGGGCATATGTATTATTTCATCATGCTATAGTAGAAGTAGATGGTTTGAATTAAATCAAAATGATCCTGCTTTTGATTAAGGACATAAGCTATCTGGCAGATGGCTGCCTTTTCCAAGAAAATATATCCAATGGCAAGTATACTTAATATATCTATGTATTATCTTTGCTGAGTATGAAGTTGTATGGCAATATTTATATGTAAGAAAAACAACTCAAAAGGAACTCAATCCTTCCAAGGAAAATAAATATCAGTAAGTAATTTAACATCTTTGGGGCCTTTGAAAAGGAAAGAAAAAAATGAGGCAAAATGAATGTGCAAATAAATACTGTTTGTAAAACAACAAAATATTAGGCAGCTATATATCAGTAGTACTCTATAAAAGAAATGCTAAAGACAGTTCTGCAACAGAAGGAATGCAAGACTAAATAGAAACATAAAGATACATAAGAGATAGACACTGGAAAGGATATGTATAGGAATAAATACAAACTAAAATTTGCACACGACTATAGATGTCATGGTTTGTGAATTTTGCAATGCATATATAACTGAATTGCATGAAAAATAACACGAAAAAGTAGTGTAAATGGAATTTAAAAATCTAACTCTATTTTAGGAAATGGTAAATTAATATTTGGTACTAGGAAGTAATAAGTTGAGGATAGCTGCTGTATAATAAATGATTGCATGTTTAACAAGTTAATGTAAGGAAAAATATAACAAAATGTCTAATCCAAAGGAAAGCAAGAAAGCAGGAAATTTGAAAAAAAAAGGATGGTAGATTTATCTCTAACTACCAATAATTTAGACATCATAAACAGACAAATTTATCTAAGTAAAATTTTTAAATTATTAAACAAGATTAAAATGAAAGGTTTATGCTGCTTATAAAATACACACTGCAATAATATCATAAAATGACTTTGAAAATTAAAAAACGAAAAGTACATATCATGCAAAAACTGAATTGACGAAACCTGACTTATACTTTAAGGCGAAGGAGAAAAGGGGACATTTCATAATGATAAGTGGGTCAATCTATTAGGAAATCATTAAAATACTAAATCTATATAGACCCAAAACATAACTTAAAAATATATAAATAAAAAATTGATTAAATTAAGAAAAAGTCAACTCCATGTTATGGTGGGAGACTTTATGCTCAAGAGGTGATAGAAAAGCAGAAAATAACATAATAAGGATTTAAAAGATTTGATCAGTATAATTACCACATTTGACATAGTTAAAGAAGAAAAAAGGTATATGGTCGTCTCAATTGGTATAGAAAGAAGCACTGGACAAAATTTAGACCCTGTTTATGTAAAAATGTCCTAGAAAATTAGAAATGGAAAAATACCTTCCTTACCTCTTAGAGAATACACAGGCAGACAGAGAGACAGACAGACACACACACACACACACACACACACACACACAATCACAATAAATGCTGAAAAATTGTTTTTCTTCATTTTGGAATTAGATATTTTTAAAAGATGTAAAGTATCATCATTCCTAGATAATACTGTACTGGACCTCTTACTAGTATAAAGGGCAAGAAAAAGAAATAAAATACATGAGTACTGGAAATAAAGAAAACGAATAGTTATTATTTGTAGATGGTGTAATTGTTTGGATAGTAAACCAAAACCACAATCTAGAGGTCTTCTTTAACATTTTAATAATGTTTTGTACAGTATCAAGACTTCACATCTTAGGCCCGCCGCAGTGGCTCGCACCAATAATCCCCATACTTTGAGATGAGGCAGGCGAATGACATGAGGCCAGGAGTTTAAGACCCACCTGGCCAACATGGTGAAATCCTGCCTCTACTAAAAATACAAAAATTAGCCAGTCGTGGTGGTGTACACCTGTAATCCCAGCTACTCAGGAGGCTGAGGCACGAGAAGAGCTTGAACCCGAGAGACGGAGGTTGCAGTGAGCTGCGATTGTGCCATTGCACTCCAGCCTGGGCGATAGAGACTGTCTTAAAAAAAAAAAAAAAAAAAAAAATGCCGGGCGCAGTGGCTAAAGTCTGTAATCCCAGCACTTTGGGAGGTGGGCGGATCACATATTTCACAATTCCATCTCCAATTTGTTTGTTGCTGGTATGATCTTTTTGCACATGGTTTTTATATTTATTGACTTTTCTAAATTTATTTATTCATTCAAAAATATGTATTTGCCTTTACTACATTTACCTGATTTTTAAATTGTCCTTTGAATCGTGTACTAGCTAATAACATTAAATGGACTTTTAGAAATAAAATTATATATGTTCCTTATAAAAATTCTATGGGCATCCCTACCAGATTTAGATACTTGACTTTCTGAATTTATTTCCGAAAATAAGTTCTCTGTTTATTATTGATTCACCAAGAAAAAATAAGTAAAGAAATATTTTCCTATTAACACCCTCGTCTCTATGAGAAATCATCAGCTCTATGTAACTATTTTTGCCGACTGCAAGCCCATTTGCTGATTGTCTACTGAAGCTCTTGGCATAAAAATACAACAGTGAGTTCTAGAGAAGACCTGATCCTGTGCTGCCTGGATCATAAGAGAAAGACCAATAAAATAATGGAGTATATACCTGAAATTTTGAATAGTCAAGCATTCCAATCGGTGTATTATTTTCTCAGAATGTATTTATTGAAAATTCAAAGCACAAAAAGAATGCAATTTAGCAAGCACTTACTTAATAGGGCAAGGATGATACAGTGTTTAATAAGGTACCTTCTAGAGCTGTGGTCAAGACAGATTTTGGTGCTCCTCCTCTTTCAGTAAAAAAAGACAATGATTTGTTGATTTCTCCTATGTGCCTAGGAAAGGTGAGTGGCAACATATTCGAGATATAACTAATTCTGTTACAGAGCAAAAACCAGTGATATCTTCTCAGTAGCATTTTTTGTCTAATATGTAAACTCAGAAAATAATTATTAATTAATAAATAATTTTAGCTGCTTTAAAATTACGCATTTTCAAATATGTTCCTAGGTGCCTCTTTTCTTGCAGTTCAAGAAATTAACTTGCAGTTCAAATATGAATTCACCTGATAAGAAAAGAATAGTGTGTCTTAGCAGATATTACAGTACATTGCACAAAACCTTCACATATCTAGGACTCAAAAATATATTTGACACATTTTAAACATGAAAATATTATTAAATTAGTGATTCAGACATTTAATTAATCTTTTAAGGTAATTTGTGCATTGGCTTTTTGTTAGACATATCAACACTTCAATTTTTTATTTCTATGTTTGAATTTAAATATATTTAAATTGGTTTAATACAATTATAAAATCAAATTTCAATAAGCAACAAGGAAGTAAACTCTATAAAATATATCAAATACTTAACCATAAATGTTTGCAATAAACTCTGAAATAAAGATTACAATATTATATTGAAACAGTGGCAAGTTCACAAAGAAGTATGTTAAGGCTCACAATAATGAGCAACAAATTAAAGGCAAAACTGACCTATATATAATCACATTACTTTATCCAGTCTGTCACTGATGGACGTTTAGGTTGACTCCATGTCTGCTACTGCGAATAGTGCTGAAATGAACATTCACGTGCATATGTCTTCATAATAGAACAATTTATATTCCTTTGGGTACATACACGGTAATGAGATTGCTGGGTCTAATGGTAGTTCTGTCTTTAGCTCTTTGAGGAATTGCCACACTGTCTTCCACAATGGTTGAACTAATTTATACTCCCACCAAGAGTATATAAGCATTCGTTTTTCTCCACATCCTCTCCAGCATTTATTTTTTGACATTTTGGTAATACCAGTTCTAACTGGTGTGAGATGATATCTCGTTGTGGTTTTGATTTGCATTTCTCTAACAATCAGTGATATTGAACTTTTTTCCATATAAGTGTTGGCCACTTGTAAGTCTTTTGAAAAGTATCTGTTCATGTCCTCTGCCCACTTTTTAATGGGGCTATTTTTTTCTTGTAAATTTGTTTAAGTTCTTTATAGATGCTGGATATTAAACTGTTGTCAGATGCAGAGTTTGCAAACATTTTCTCCCTTTCTATAGGTTGTCTGTTTATTCTGCTGATAGTATCTTTGGCTGTGCAGAAGCTCTTTAGTTTAATTAAACCCCTTTTGTCAATCTTTGCTTTTGTTGCAATAGCTTTTGGTGTCTTTGTGATGAAATATTTGCCCATGTCTATGTCCTGAATGGTATTGCCTAGGTTGTCTTCCAGGATTTTTAGAGTTTTTGGGTTTTACATTTAAGTCTGTAATCCATCGTTAGTTAATTTTTGTATATGGTGTAAGGAAGGGGTCCAGTTTCAATCTTCTGCATATGGCTACCCAGTTATCCCAGCACAATTTCTTGAATAGGGAATCCTTTCTCCATTGCTTGCTTTTGTCAAATTTGTCAAAGATCAGATAGTTGTAGGTATGCAGTCTTATTTGCAGGTTCTCTATTCTGTTCCATTGATCTATGTATCTGTTTTTGTACCAGTACCATGCTGTTTTGGTTACTGTAGCCTTGTAGTATAGTCTGAAGTCAGGCAGTGTAATGCCTCCAGCTTTGTGCTTTTTGTTTACAATTGCTTTGACTATTTGGGCTCTTTTTTGGTTCCATATAAATTTTAAAACAGTTTTTTTCTAGTTTGTAGATAATCACAATGGTACTTTAATGATAATAGCATTGAATATATAAATTGCTTTTGGCAATATGGTCATTATAACGAAATTCATTCTTCCTGTCTATGAACATGGAATGTTTTTCCATTTAATTGTGTCATTTCTGATTTCTTTGAGCAATGTTTTATAGTCCTCTTTATAGAGATCTTTCACCTCTTGGGCTAGCTGCATTCCTAGGTATTTTCTTTCTCTTTGTGGCAATTTTGAATGTTATTGCATTATTGATTTGGCTCTCAGCTTGGCTCTTCTTGGAGCACAGAAATATTAGTAATTTTTGTACATTGAGTTTGTATCCTGGAACTTGGCTGAAGTTGTTTGTCAGCTTAAGTAGCTTTTGGGCTGAGACTATGGGGTTCTCTAGAGATATATTCATGTGAGGCCAGGCGCAGTGGCTAGTGCCTGTAATCCCAGCACCTTGGGAGGCCAAGGTGGGTGGATCACTTGAGATCAGGAGTTTGAGGCCAGCCTGGTCAACGTGGTGAAACTCCATCTCTAGTAAAACTACAGAAGTTAGCTGAGCATGGTGGTGCATACCTGTAATCCCAGCTACTCAGGAGGCTGAGGATGGAGGATCATTTGACTCCATGAGGTGGAGGTTGCAGTGAGCAGAGATTATACTGCGACACTCCAGCCTGGGTGACAGAGCAAGATTCTGTCTCAAAAAAAAAAAGGAAATCATGTCATATGCAGCAAGGATAGTTTGACTTCCTCTCTTCCTGTTTGGGTGCCTTTTATTTCCTTCTTTTGCCTGATTGCTCTGGTCAGTACTTCTAACACCATGCTGTTAGGATTGGTGGAGAGAGGGCATCATTGTCTTGTTACAGTTTTCAAGGGGAAAGCTTCTAACTTTTGCCCACTCAGTGTGATGCTGGCTATGGCTTCGTCCTAAATGTCTCTTATTATTTTGAGGTATGTTCCTTCAATATCTAGTTTGTTGAGAGTTTTTAACATAAAGGATGTTAAATTTTATCAAATGTCTTTTCCGCATCTATTGAGATGATCAAGCCATTTCTGTGTTTAGTTCTGTTTGTGTGATGAATTATATTTATTTATTTGCATATGTTGAACCAAACTTATATCCTGTGGATAAAGTCTCTTGATCATGGTAGATTAGCTCTTTGATATGTTGCTGGATTTGATTTGCTAGTATTTTGCTGAGGATTTTTGCATCGATATTCATCAACCATATTGGCTTGAAGTTGTTGTTGCATCTCTGCCAGGTTTTGGTATGATGCTGGCCTCATAGAATGAGTTAGGGAGGAGTCCCTCCTCCTTGATTTTATATATATATATATATATATATATATATATATATATATATATATATATATTTTTTTTTTTTTTTTTTTTTTTTTTTTTTTTGAGACACAGTCTTACTCTGTTGCCCAGGCTGGAGTGCAGTGATGTGATCTCGGCTCACTGCAAGCCCCACCTCCCGGGTTCAAGCAATTCTCCAGCCCTAGCCTCCCATGTAGCTGAGATTACAGGCGCATGCCACCATGCCAGCCTAATTTTTCTGTTTTTAGTACAGACGGGGTTTTACCATGTTGGCCAGGCTGGTCTCGAACTCCGGACCTCAGGTGATTCACCCACCTCGGACTCCCAAAGTGCTGGAATTACAGGCATGAGTGACCAAACCCAGCCTTTCCTCTTCACTTTTTTGGAATACCTTTAGTAGGAATGGTAACAGCTCTTCTTTGTACATCTGATAGAATTCAGTTGTGAATCCATTTGGACCTGGGATTTTTTTGGTTGGTAGGCTATTTATTACTGATTCAATTACAAGCTCATTTTTGCTCACTTCAGGGACTCAATTTCTTTCTGGTTCAGTCTTGGGAGGGTGTATGCATCCAGGAATTTATCTATTTCTTCTAGATTTTCTAGTTATTGTGCATAGAGGTGTTCATAGTAGTCTCTGATGGTTAGTTGTATTTCTGTGGGGTCAGTGATAATGTCCTTTTGTCACTTCTAATTTTATGTATTTGGATACTCACCCTTTTCTTCTTTATTAGTCTAGCTAGTGGTCTATTTATCTCATTAGCTTTTTCAAAATAAAAACAGGCACTGGCTTCATTGATCTTTTGAATTTTTTTGTGTGTCTTATCTACTTCAGTTCAACTCTGATTTTGGTTATTTCTTGTTTTCTGCTAGATTTGGAATTGGTTTTCCCTTGCTTCTCTAGTTCTTTTAGTTGTGATATTAGGCTGTTAATCTGAGGTATAACTTTCTGATGTGGGCATTTAGTGCTATAAATTTCCCTCTTAACACTGCCTAACCTGTGTCCCAGAGATTCTGGTATATTGTATCTTTGTTCTCATTCATTTCAAAGAACGTTTTGATTTCTGCCTTAACTTCATTATTTACCCAAGTCATTCAGGAGCATGTTGTTTAATTTCCATGGTTTTGAGTGATTTTCTTAGTCTTGAATTCTACATTCATTTTGCTGTGGTCCGAGAGAGGTTGGCATGATTTTGGTTCTTTTGCACTTGCTGAATATTGATGTATGTCCGATTGTGTGGTCAATTTTAGCATATGTGCCATGTGGTGATGAGAATATGTATATTCTGTTGTTTTGGGGTGAAGAGTTCTGCAGATTTATATAAGGTCCATTTGATCCAGGGTTGAGTCCAAGTCCTGAATACCTTTGTTAATTTTCTGCCTCAGAAAATTAATTATACAGATTATAATCTGTATAATACTGTCAGTGGGGTGTTGAAATCTCCCACTATTATTGTGTGGGAATCTAAGTCTCCTTCAAAGTGTCTAAGAACTTTCTTTATGAATCTAGGTGATCTTGAGCTGGCAGCATATAGATTTAGAGTAACTAGATCTTCTTGGTGAATTGAACCCTTTACTGTTATGTAATGCCCTTCTTTGTCTTTTTGATTTTTGTTGACTTAAAGTCTGTTTCATCTGAATTAGAATTAAAATCCTGGTTTTTTTCTGTTTTCCATTTGCTTGGTAGATTTTTCTCCATCCCTTTATATGAGTCCATGGGCTTCATTGCATGTGAGATGGGTCTCCTTAAGGCAGCATAACATTTGGTCTTGCTTCTTTATCCAGCTTGCCACCCTGTGTCTTTTAAGTGGGGCGTTTAGCCTGTTGACATTCAAGGTTAATATTGATATGTTAGATTTGATACCACCATCATGCTGTTAGCCTGTTATTTTGCCAACTTGTTTGTGTGGTTGCTTTATAATGTCACTGGTCTGTGTACTTCAGTGTGTTTTTATAGTGGCTGATAACGGTGTTTCATTTCCATATTTAGTGCTTCTTCCAGAAGCTTGTGTTAGGCAGGTCTGGTGGTAACAAATTTCCTGAGCATTTGCTTGTCTGAAAAGGATCTTATTTCTCCTTTGCTTCCGAAGCTTAGTTTGTCCAAATATGAAATTCTTAGTTGGAATTTATTTTCTTTAAGAATGTTAAATATAGGCCCCCAATCTCTTCTGCTGAGAGGTCTTCTGTTAGTCTGATGGCTTCCCTTTGTAGGTGATCTGTTTTTTCTCTCTAGCTGCATATACTTACAAATATATGCATCATCATGTCAATATATTTTATTTTTAATTTTTTTTAGAAAGCAACAATGATAAACTTACAGAAAAGTTGCAAGTATACAATAAATACCCCCTTCCCTAACCGGAATTATACAATAGTCTTTTAAAGACCTTAGAATTCTATCGTCTAAAACTTTACTATGTGTTTCCTACAAAAAAAGAATATCCTCCTATATACTCCCCATACGCCAATGAAATATGATACTCCACCGACTCCTGAGGAATATTTCAAATTGTCAAAAAAAATCTAAAAAATGTCTCTCGTAACAAAATAGTCTCCAGTAGAAACCCATTCTCTGCAGACAAATCTGTGCTACCCTGATCTTACCTGGGACACCTGGGGACACTGAGCTGCTGCTGAGTTACTGAGATGAGCCAGCCCTGCAGCTGCGCCCAGCCTGCCCCATCCCCTGCTCATTTGCATGTTCCCAGAGCACAGCCTCCTGCCCTGAAGCCTTATTAATAGGCTGGACACACTTCATGCAGGAATCAGTCCCACTCAGGACACAGCATGGACATGAGGGTCCCCGCTCAGCTCCTGGGGCTCCTGCTGCTCTGGTTCCCAGGTAAGGATGGAGAACACTAGCAGTTTACTCAGCCCAGAGTGCTCAGTACTGCTTTACTGTTCAGGGAAATTCTCTTACAACATGATTAATTGTGTGGACATTTGTTTTTATGTTTCCAATCTCAGGTGCCAGGTGTGACATCCAGATGACCCAGTCTCCATCCTCCCTGTCTGCATCTGTAGGAGACAGAGTCACCATCACTTGCCGGGCAAGTCAGGGCATTAGAAATGATTTAGGCTGGTATCAGCAGAAACCAGGGAAAGCCCCTAAGCGCCTGATCTATGCTGCATCCAGTTTGCAAAGTGGGGTCCCATCAAGGTTCAGCGGCAGTGGATCTGGGACAGAATTCACTCTCACAATCAGCAGCCTGCAGCCTGAAGATTTTGCAACTTATTACTGTCTACAGCATAATAGTTACCCTCCCACAGTGTTACACACCCGAACATAAACCCCCAGGGAAGCAGATGTGTGAGGCTGGGCTGCCCCAGCTGCTCCTCCTGATGCCTCCATCAGCTGAGATTGTTCCTCAGATGCAGCCACACTCTGATGGTGTTGGTAGAAGGGGACATGAAGTCACCTCTGCACCCTAATTCTTTTCTCTTTCTCAGCCCCAACTACACAGACATAGCAATGCCTCTCCTAATTTAATACAGACAGAGATCATGACACCTGAGGAGTCTAGTTTATGGCTTCAGTTGGACTTTATATAACAGAGAAGAAGCCACTATAGATATTCTAGGCAGGAATTGTCTTAATACAGAGAATTAAAGTAAACTACTGACGTCTAAATAAAATGTAGAGATGAATCTCTAAATGTAATGTTTTATTTACACAGAAATATTTCCCAAATGGGGCATACAGGAAAACTCAGTGGTCTTCAATATGTGGCAAGAACAAAGAAAAAGTTAGTGTTTCATGAAAAAGGGAAAATATTACCTATGGCTCTTTGAGAAAGTTCATTGGCACTAGGAAGGGTTGGGAGCTGGCAAGCTCAGACTGGGAAGCAGTGGTGGACAAAGTGAATCCTAGAATTATATCAAGTTATCTCAGAAGTTGTGGACAAATTTGATTTCAGGTTACAAGAAGCCAAAGCAGTGAAGGTTGCAGAGTGTTTTGTTACTGAAATACCAGGGATTCAGCGTAGATCCTGCAGCTCACCACACAGAAAGCCAATCACTAAGGCAAGTATTGCCAAGGAAAAGGCTTTAATCAGGTGCTGTAGCTGAGGAGATGGGACACCATTCTCAAATGTATCTCCCTGACCAACAAAAATTAGGGGTTTATATAGCACGGAAGAAATGTGGGAAAACAGGAATTATGGAGGGTTAAGGGAGATAATTTGGTCAACAAGAAGCAGGAGGTCAGTTATGCAGTCATAATGAGTGAAGGGTCTGATGTCCCACTGTCCTGATTCAGTGATATGTAAGTTTCAGCTCCTTGATAGTATCTGGGAGGCCTGATGGTTGGTTTACTGAAAAAAGAACTCAGGTAAGACAGATGTAACTATCTTGAGTTTTAAGATCGGGGAAGTCAATTTCTATGTTTATTCAAAAAACCATAAACATTAGTTCCATGGCATAATAGGGCCTATTTCAATTGCATTCTAGAAACAATATTTTTCACCCTGAGTGCCTTTCCCCTCTGGTTTCATGGCTCTGTTTGGTATGACAAGAATGACCCAATTCCTATGATTAACATTCACACTACAACCTTTCAAAACCAAGGATATAGTATTCAGGAAAGTTGATATTAGAAGCAGCATTCTTTGGTGCTCCCACTGAAAACAGAATGTATCCACCCCTGAAGTAAGGGTTTTCTACCCATGTGGTCCTCAGTCCTGTCTGGAAGTTTAAGTCTGGAATTGCTGAAGTTCTCGCTTCCTAGAGCATCTTTCCAGGTGTTTCTCCAGTCCTCACCTTTGTCTCTCTGCCTCTTAGGTACCAATGGATAATACTGAGTCTTCCTTTTCTCACTTCCAAATCTCATGGGGGACCCTCTTATTGGGCAACCCTATAGGACATGAGAGGTAAAGAGGGATATTTCCATAAGTTAAAATGATTTTCCCCCAAAAAGGTCATTTAAAAAAATTATATTTGAAGCCACATGTTGAAAACACATCCAGCTTTGTTTTCTTATTAATGCAAACTTACATTTGCAAATATTTTCAGGATTGTGAAGGTTGAAAACATGATTATTTGTCTATGGAATGATCAAACACCTCTACAATTAAGTGGAGTAAACATTTTCTTAAAAACTTATACTCATTGAAATAAAGGAATATATTTTAAATGTTTGAAGCTATGTTAGAAATTATTGGACTTAAATTCAACTGTGCGGTTTGGTTTGGGATGTTGATCACTACTGTGACCTGCCACAAGAATCTTGTGTCATGTGTAGTCACTGCTGTTCAGCCTTGTCGTTAAACAACTGATATCTACAGGCTGAATACAATCTACAGGCTCCTCTCTGCTGAGAGGAGCCACTCAGCAGAGACCTTCCTTGATCAGCCAGATGATTGTGAACATGAGCATCTATGAACATGAAAACAAATGTTTACTGTTATCAGCCACTGAGTTGTACATTTAACCAGTTACCGTAATTAATGCATAAACACTTCCTGATACAGTATTTACACCTCTACCTATATAAACATACATATTTTTTCTTGAATTGGTGGTATAAATATGAATATTTAGTAATCAAATTATGAAGTTATTAAGAGAAAAACACAAAATTAAAACTAATTAGTATTTCAATAAAAAATTAAAATTTACCTTCTTTATGGAAAAAAGTGCATATATATTTAAGATACATAGAAGTGAATATATATTTATTTGATAAAATGTTGGCTACAACTACGTACAGTATTCATATTTAAGTACATTTATTCTATTATATATGCAATATATACATATTTTATTTATAAAATATTATCTAAATTATATACATTTAAATAATTGTTACATTCCACACAAAAAAAATGGTATTTGTGATGACACCTAATTCATACTCTTGCTACAGAAAATTTATTTGTAGCCTTTATTTTTAAAACTTTACCAAATGGTTGTCCTTACCTAAAATATTTTTCCAATCCAGTAGAGCTCCAAGGGTAAGGCTAGAGCAAATTTTGACTAATGTTGAATATTAACCATTGCATCCTATAAAAGTCTCCATTATGTTCATGCCCACAATGATGATATTCCAAATAGAGTTCTCACAACAATGGATGCTGGATGGAGTCACATCAGTGCCATTGTCAAGGAAGCCCTGGAAATGTAAAACTCATAACAGTGGGTAAACTGCAAGGCCTACATCTGATGATCACGTTGCAAAGAGAACAGCAGTTTAATAATATTGGCTGTTGGTTTTGACAGATCATCAGGCCTTAAAAGAAATGCAACAGGATGATTTCAGACAAAGTCATTCTGTAAGAGCTATGACTAGAAGTTTCAAAAATGAGCCATAATCAAGAATAAGAAGCTTTCCAAGTGAATATTAATTGAAATGCCATTAACGACCAGGGGGCTTTTAATAATGAGGATGATTCAACATATGGACTTCAGTTACCTCTTCCAGCTTTCCCAGCTAGCCTCACGAACCAGTGTTATGGAGGTCCCTGTGGAGACTCAATAATATGACTTTCAACTAACTGAGATGTACAGGGCTACTGGCTCTTCTGAACACCCAATTTGCCAAGAAAACTGACCCCTCCAGAACCCTTAACATTGTACCACACATCAGGGCTCAGACTAATTACTGGTATCAGGTGATTCTAGTGGACCTCATGGAACATGAGGATGGCAGTGGTTATTTTACTATATATGGATTTGCCTTCCTTTTCGGTTATGTTTCTGCATAAAATATTATTTGTGGATTTTCAAGGAGTTTTCATCAGAGTCAGGAAGTTCTTCCATAATATGGCTTTGGATCAAGCAACTTATTTGCCTCAAAAAAAGTGAAGCAAAATGTAGCTCATGCTCTTGTCATGTGCACAGGTGCAGCTTTCCCTATAGACAGGGAAAAACCCATTATTAGTCAAGCAAAGCTGTCACACAAACCCTTGTGCTATTGAATTGCTATGCTGTCAGAAGTGGTGGAGGCTCTGAAACACTAATCATGAATGGTGCTGTTACTTCCATAAACAGAATATTTATATCTTGAAAATGAGCTGCAGATTCATCATTCTTGTGCCAACTGAACAGCTTGAAATACTCTATTTCTATTTTCTCAGGGCTGTGGTTTTCTGGCTGATGGTTCTTAATGCAAAGAATTGACATGACAATTATTCCAAGAAATTGGAAGAAATGATATGATAAGCATGTCACCATTTAGACTTAATACAATACTGGATAAGTTGTCAACACAGGGCATTCAGATGTGTGCTGGGGCCATAGATGTAGCCCATATAAAGCAAGAGCAAAAATAACTGATTTTACATATTTTAGAGAGGAAGTACAGAAAATATGGACCCTAGGGGACCTTCTGGAATCTTTCTATTTATTGCCATTTCCACTGGTAAAACTCAGAGAAGATTTCAACAGTCATCAGGATGAAGTTCTAGGGATCACAGTCATGTGAAGCATTACTTGCACTTGGATCTCCAGTGAGGCAAAGGGAAGATGAAATGCATAGTGGGATGTGGAGGGGTAAACACCAGAGGCAGACACCTGGTCAGCTTCAACGTTGAAAAGTGTATTTATTTTTTCTCTTTACTTTTATCACTGAATCATTTGGATCTAAGAAAAGCGATTATGGCTGGTTAGGCAGAAAGGTGTTTATTATCATGAATTAAATGGATTGAAAACATTTGGGGAAACCAGAGTGGAAGCTCAGGCAACTCCAAGTACTCCTTTTGCTATTGCTTGACCCTCCTCGCCTCCATATTTTCCACAGTCAAGAAAGATACTCTCATTTTATAGGAACCTGGCAAGTGAAGATATTGTGCCCACAGGACTGTGCTGCCTGGCTGAGACCCAGACCAGGAAAATGAGCACATTTGAGTGAAATCAGACATTTCCCCTCCCTCATCTCAATCCAAAACGACTCTGTAGTGACACATCTGATGGGCAGTCAGAGAAAGGGGTCAGATTTCCAGCAGTTGAGAGTTGATAGCAGAGCTGCTGTCCTCCTGGGGGCAGTAGTGAGAAGAGCTGGTCTCTTTTCTGCTGCAAAAGACAGCTTGAATGTCTCAAGCAGTAGGAGCTCCTCCCCAGCCTGTGCCAGCAGTATGATTCTTGGAATTGTTCTAGAGGCTTTGACTGGAGCCTGTTCTTTAAGGCTTTTCAACAATTTGTAAGGAATTTAATATCTTCTAGTTAATCACTTTATGCTTCATGGATCTGACATTTGCAACAGGGAATATACGCAGTCCGCAGTGACATCATTCACAGCCTCCTTTTTTCTTGCTAAATATATAATGCTTTCCAGGTGGACCTGCCAGAGGAAGACAATGTGAACAACAATCCATGTCAACAAAAATGCAAGACAAATAAGCTCAGGAAAGCCACTGGGTTCTCACCTAGTTGCACTGTCCCCCTGAGTCTTTTTTTTTTTTTTTTTTTTTTGGTCACCTTAGTCAAAATCATGAACAAAGTTGCCAACTTTGAATGGAGCCCTTTGCAACGGTAGCCTTGGAATCTATACAACTATACATGTCCAAGGCATTTATTTAAGACCTTTAGAGCCTGCTTGCTCGATGGAAATCCAGGTATCCACTATTTCTATGCATGCTGACTGGAGTCTGTGGCAATGTCACTAGGTGCACCAGACTCAGCTTTTGGATGCAAAAGTTTCCTGAAGTGGCCACCAGTTGTGCCTCTTTTGAATGGCAACTCCTCGCTTGCTGTAGGAAAATGATAGGGCCTGAGTATCTCAAGATTTCATTTTTTTTTTTTCTTCAGATAGAGTCTCACTCTGTCACTCAGGATGCAGTGCAGTGGCACGATCTACACTCACTGCAACCTATGCCTTCCAGGTTCAAGCGATTCTCCTGCCTCAACCTCCAGAGTAGCTAGGACTACAGGTGCACACCACCATGCCCGGCTATGTTTTGTACTTTTAGTAGAGACAGCGTTTCACCATGTTGGCCAGGCTGGTCTCAAACTGCTGACCTCCAGTGATCTGCCCTCCTCAGCCTCCCAAAGTGCTGGGATTATAGGCGTGAGCCACTGTGCCCAGCCTCCCAAGGTTTCTAAAGTGGAACTCTAACATTCCTGATAAGAACCTGACCATCTTCCAAGGTTGCTGATAGAGCTGGCATTTCCCCAAAGCACCAAATGAGATCTAGCCAGCTGAAGGTGGGATGGTCCCCAGAACTGACCTTTCACTGATTTTTCCTCATTATAATCTCATTGTAATACTAAAATATCCACCCAAGGCAGGGCTTATCCTCCATTTCCTCACCATGTTATATATGTTAGAGCATGACGCTCCACTGCACAAATGCAAAGAAAACTTTGCCTAACCATGCTTGTATGTCATTCCTTTTTCCGCCTCAGCTTCCTTAAAATGGTAAGAGCTGGGCACTTCAAGGAATAGCCACCAGGATCTCTTACCCATAGGCTGCTCCCTTGCTTTGCTCTTGCCACAAACCTATTAAACCTTGCCTGAGACAATTTCTGTTTGGCCTGGTGTTGATTTCTATTTACAAAAGAGGCAAGGGGTCAGGCGCGATGGCTCACACCTATAATCTCAGTACTTTGGGAGGCCAAGGTGGGTGGATCACCTGAAGTCAGGAGTTTGAAATCAGCCTGACCAACATGGTGAAACCCCATCTCTACTAAAAATACAAAATTAGCCAGGCGTGGGGGTACACACTTGTAATCCCAGCTACTTGGGAGGCTGAGGCAGGAGAATCACTTGAACCCAGGAGGCAGAGGTTGCAGTGAGCCGAGATCACACCACTGTACTCCAGCCTGGGAAACAAAAGCAAAACTCTGTCTCAAAAAAAAAAAAAAAAAAAAAAAAGCGGCGGGGAGGAGACAAAGAACTTGGGGTCCCAGCAGCAGCAAAAATTGCATCAGGTGGGAATGAAGAGCTGATTAGAACTTTTCTTCCAAGCCTTTCACTTGCCACTTAGTGATTTTTACCAAGTGTCCTGAAGCTACCTCAAAGAGTAACACTCAAGTAACTCCAGCACTGCAGGTGCAAAGGTGACCACAGCTGCATGGATGGGCAGGACCCAGGCTCTGACACTCAGGCTGCCAATACAATTGCCATGAAGACAGATGTTGATGCCATCCATGAAGGCAGGGGATAATTCCTTGGCTGATTCTCTAATCTCCACTACACTCACTCTGCACAACACATCTATCAAACTAGACTCAATTTCTCTTCTC
Source organism: Homo sapiens (assembly GCF_000001405.40). Taxonomy (NCBI): domain Eukaryota; kingdom Metazoa; phylum Chordata; class Mammalia; order Primates; family Hominidae; genus Homo; species Homo sapiens. The sequence goes on along the minus strand of NW_012132915.1, from coordinate 219,251 downwards.
CTTAATTGTTTTGAAAAACTCTGTTCACAGTCCAGAGCTTCATTTCCTACAAATCTGCACCTTTCCTTTAAGCAGTTAAACTCCTTTGCTTTCTGGACACTTCGCCTGGTCTCAAGGAAGCAATTTTATTAATGCTACTCCAAGTTCTAATGGAATCTTCATCCATCCTGGAATTAGAGCTTCATGTACAGCCAGGCAAGATCCATGCAACAGTCCAGATGTTGTCTTGGCAGGCCCTGAAGTCAAACCCTTGGGGTTGGGGATGGAGCTTTACCGCTTACATGTTGTGTGACATTAGTAAAGTAACTTAACCCCCCTTTGCCTCCTTTTCTATACCCGCAATGCTGTGACAATAATAGGTTCTACCTCATAGGTCGGTTTACAATTTAAACAAGGTAAAAGATTTAGAATATATCCAACAGATAATATGTGCTTCTATTAATTTAGGTATCCTTATAGCTATAATACTTAGCACTTAGCAGACACTTATTGAAAATAGTTTTAAATCCAAGTTCTTTCCATCTACAGCCCCAAGAGGTGCTAAAATGGGGCTTTTTACTACCCAGCTCACAGCCCTTTAAATCCTAAAGATTTTGTCTTGATCCATGCTAAATTGCTCAAATCAATCATGCCCATGCATGTCTGTCCAATGCATTTCTTCTCACCATCCATTATCACAACCTATTATTCTATGATAGGTTCAATTGTCGTATTGCTGTCCTGCTTTCTTGTGTAAGTCTTATTCTATCTTTTAAATCTTTTCTCTATTTCTCTAATACTTGTGCCAAAACTCAAAATCTAATCTCAGTTTCTTTGACATGCTTCTATGCTAATGATGTAGTTTATTTGATGTTGTTTATGCTTTTACTTGTTGGATTCCTATGGAAACAAATTATTTTAAGTGCATGTCCTTCTAAGACCACAGAGCTAGAAGGTGAAAAAAAGCTAAGTGGAAGTGTATGAAGAAGAGTGATTTGGGAAACTAAAGTGTCACTTCTCCAAGAGTTTTCAAGTTGTATTTTATTTTTTGTTTTTTTACAAACCATGTGTGACTTTGTCAAACACTTTTTATCTAAAGCCTTTTTTCTCTAAAAGCCCACGTAGATTACCTACATGCAGTAAAAATCTGCTCGGCCTTTCTCTAGTTTCTCCCTGTATACACCCAGAAGTCCACACATGAGACCCCGCCAGATTTAACAGCCTTGGCCTGGCAGAATCTGCAGGACAATGGAGGGGATCCATGTGTCCCCTGAGGAACCAGACTTGACAGCAGATAAAGCTGAGTAGAAGGGCATCCTAATCCTTTCTGCCTTCCCTACGCATTTTGGTCAATTAAACCCATTCAGTGTAACAACTTTGTATTTAAGGCTGGTTCACACCAAACCAAAACTAATATGCTTTCTGTATTTTATTTTGATGAGTAGTTACTGGTTTACATGCAGCTGGGTTAGTTTAGGTATATAAAAACTGTTTCAGTCCCTTCCCCCACCTTCACACTTCCACTGTTTCTTAGCACCTGTCTTTCTGCTGGAAAGGGGCTGGAAAGACCCTTTTTAATACCATTGTTTCAGAGAGTAGCCAGGTAAAACTATTGGCATTCTTGGCTTTTGGCTACTAAATAGATTTCATTAAATCTACTTAAAAACTAAAGTAGGCTAGGCATGGTAGCTCATCCCTATAATCCCATCTTGGGGCGCCGAGATGGGTGGATCACCGGAGGTCAGGAGTTTGAGACCAGCCTGGCCAACATGGTGAAACCCCGTCTCTACTAAAAATATAAAAACTAGCCTGGCATGGTGGTGGGTGCCTGTAATCCCAGCTGCTCGGGAGGCTGAGGCAGGAGAATTGCTTGAACCCAGGAGACAGAGGTTGCAGTGGGCCGACATGATGCCATTGCACTCCAGCCTCAGCGACAGAGTGAGACTCCGTCACAAAAAAAAAAAAAAGTCATGTGTCAAATGTCTGATCAGTCAGACACAGCACGATGAAGTAGATGTAGGAGAGATTTCACACTCAGTACGAGTACCCTGATATTTGAGGAAACTAAAGATGCCAGAACACCCTAGCAGAAACCTGTCTCCAGTGAGTCATGGCATTGTGTGATCTACCTCCACAGAGAACAGGTAGAACTTAGGCTTGCTTCTAACCCATATGGTATGGCAGAGGTTATGAGATGTCTTTCCAATGATTGTATTGTATTCTGTAAGCCTCTGTCATAGCAGACTGGAAAGAGACACTCTCTGAAACCTTCTGCTGGCCTTGAACAAACAACCAGCCATGTGGGCATTGCCTGTGTGAGCATCACATGGCAGGGAATTGTCCACAGCCTCTGGGACCTGAGAGCAGCCTTGAGCCAAGAGCCAGTAAGAAGCTGAAGCCCTGAGTCACAGAGGTGCTAAGGCATGGGCTCTGCAACTACCTGAAAGAGCTCTAAAATATCTCTCTTCTCAGGGAGTCTCAGGTGAGAATGAAGAACAGTCTACACTGTGGCACAGTCTTGTGAAATCCAATGGGCAGGATCCAGCAAAGCCATGTGCTGACTGCTGACTCAGAAATTGAGAGATTATAAATGGGTGTAGTCTTAAGTTGATAAATTTGCAGGTAATTTCTTACATGTTTATAACAAACTGAACACACATTTTAAGAACAAATAATAGACCTAAGAGCAGCCATGCCACTGACATTGAATGGAGATGGGCACAGGCTTATTCTCATTGTGACCTTAGGGTTTCCAAGCACTGTGAAAGAGAGGAAAGCTTCGATGTGCAAGCCCTTTCCAATATTCCAATTCTGTCACATCTGCTATTATCCTATTGGCCTGAGCAAGACACATGGGTAACACCTGAGTCCATTTAGAATGAGGCCAACCAAAGGATGAGTGCAGGGAAGGGATTTATTGTAGCTAATTGTGCAAGTAGTTTATCCATAATTTATAAATTTTTTCCTGAGAAATACCCTGAGAAAAGGGAAACCTCTTTAAAAGTCTTAAAGTTTTTAGGTTATAGCTTCATTGATTATAGTGTTCTGCTTGATATCCAAGTATAAATAACCGAGAACTCCTTCACACTATTTTTTCTATGATGGTTTATTTTCCCCATACCTTTACAGGTAATTTTGGTCCTGTAGTGTGCTGTCCAAGTTTACTCTGCAGAGCTGACCATTTGCACAATGTAGCTGACACATCATCGCACCTTGAATGCGGACATTGACTGGTGACCTATGAGAATCCGCTTCAAAAGAATGTATTTGTCACCGCTTTGATCTTTATCCTATCTGAATCCACACACTTCTGTATTGTTCTATGGCTAATCCATATCCTGTCTCTATTAACTCACTCTTGCCATAAGTGACTAAGAGCATCTAACACAGAAATAATAAATACTTCCAGTTCTGAAAATTCAAATTAGTTGAAAAGCATGGGGACATTATAGAAAGAAAATGTATAACTATTTTAAAGACAAAGAAAATGAAGTCTTTGTATTTTGGAATGAAACTGTGTGAAAACTATCTGCAGGTTTCAGCACCAGGGAGGGCCCCTGTCTTTCCTGTGACTGAGCACATTGCCTTTCTCACACCTGCAGGCAACCAGGGAAGTGACTGGATGGGGTGAGCTGAGCTGCACTGTTGGGCCACCCTGGGGAGACTTTGGTAATATATGATGCATTTCAGATGATAACAATAACTGATGACAGCAGTTCAGCTTCTTCATTACCAATGTTCTGTGTGGAATTTCCCCCAAACAACCTACAATGAATAGACGAACTCCTGAGTTGATCTAGAAACGAACTGAATAGAGGTTGGGGAACAGGCCCCATCTCCCTGACCTATGTAAACCGAAACCAAATGTTGTCCAACCTGCACATCAAATCAGCTTCCAGATAGGTTAAACAAGTCATATCAGACCATCTAGTCACAACTGAACCACAGGGTAACTGCAGACACATGAGCAGGCTCAGCAGAGATCAGTTCAGCCAGCCCAGAATGGAGGAACCACAGAGTTGATCCTCAGAGTTATAAGGAGCAGTATAGTCATCTCTCTATCCATGGGATCTGCATCCATGGATTCAACTAAACCTGGATCAAAAATATATAGAAAAAAAATCCACAAAGTTCCAAAAAGAAAAACTTGACTTCACCATGTGCTTAGTACCACTTGGTTGAATCCACACAGGTTAAGTCATGTATACATATCGCGTCAGGTATTATAAGTAGGCTAGAGATGGTGTGAAGGGTACATGAGTATATGTGCACAATCTATTACTAATGGGGGAAGAAAAATGACATAAAACAAGGTAAAATTTTATATTTATTTTAAATGGTAATATTATGACACCAACATACTGTGAGAAGCTATGGATATAAAGGAAATACCATGACAACCAATTTAAAAATCACTATAAAAAGAGATACCCTCAAATTAGGTAAAATTAAAATGAAATTCTAAAAATGTTCAAGTAACCCAAAGGAAGGCAGCAAAAAGAAAACGGAGAAGCAAAAAAAGATACAGCAAAAAAGTAGAGCAAAGACTTAAATCTTAGTATATCAATAATTATCGATATATTAAATATGCAAATTAGTAAATTATAACAGACAGCAATTGATGAATCAAAAAGGAATGTCCGAACAGTATACTGTCTATAAGACACTCACATCAAATATGACACTAGAAGTAGACTCAATATAAAAGAAAAGAAAATGGCATAGTATGCAAAATTAATAAAATGAATCAGTAGCAAATACTAATATCAGATAAAGTAGACTACAAAGCCAAGAATGTTACCAGTGACAGAAATGTACATTACATAATGAAGAAAGTCATTTCGGAAAGAAGACAGAGCAGTTCTAAGTGCGTAGACACCAAGCAACAGAGCGATACAGTGCATGTAGCAGAAACTGGTGTGAAATGAAGGAGGCCTTCATTTTCTATTTGGGAAGCAAATGCTCTCTAAGTATAGCAGGACATTCTGGGATATTTTTTAAGCAAAGTACCCCCGTGGTCATATTTTTTTTTGTAGCAGAGTAACCCGTTCCCTCTTCAAACCACATCCCTCTCCATTGTCCCAGCTCCTCTCTGACTGCAAGCCTCCTCTTTTATTTTAAGGACCTTTGTGATCATATTGGTTTCATCTAGATAACTGGGTCGCTTATTCTTCACTTATATCTGTCAAGTTCTCTTTTTGCTATGTAAGGTAGAATTTTTATGATACGGCTCCGTTGACTGGAGGAACACCAGGGTTCTTGGTCTCACACCACTTTGGATAAAACAACACAGACACACGTGGAGTGGTTTTAGGGAGAGAAAGGTTTAATATGCAAGAAGGAAGGAAGAAGAAAACAGCTCCCCCACACAGAGACAGAGGGAGGAGGGATTCCAACAAAGACAAAACTCCATTGCAGCAGAAAAGTGGCTCTTATATGAGGAGGCTGGAGGAGGTGGTGTCTGATTTATATAGGGCTCTAGGGACTGGTTTGACCAGGCATGCCATTCATGAAGCCTGCAAAATAACTGGCCTTCCCAACAAGACTTTTAATATGCAAATGCAGGGTGCCAAAATATTCTCTACACATGGGGATATGTGGGGGCAGCCTTGTTGTCAGGCACATGTGGGGGCAAGGAAGAAGATGGTGGGAATTGACAGGTTTGGCTGGACTCAGTTTCTAATGGCCGGAATTTGCAAATCAAAGCTTCCCAGCCTGGCTCTAAGAGCCAGGGCTTTCCTGCTAGACAAGAAACGTTTCTGGAGCTGCTTTAAAGGAAAGAAAACCTTACCAAGGACACTCTTTTCCTATCTGCCTAAAATAATTTCTTAATAACTCCTGTAACACTTGGGTTCCAGAGATGAGGACATGGACATCTTTTAGGGTAGAGACATTATTCATCCCATTGACAATAAATATATTCCCCCAAATTGCCTTTCTCTAAAGTAAAATTTTAAAAATCACGAAGTATTTTTTATGAAGCAAGAGAGCTGGCCAAAATCTTAGACTCAGGTTCCTTTAAATTGTGAGCTTTAACTGTTAAGGTATGATCATTCCACTGTCTCTAATGTAGATTTATTGATGTGTAGATTGTTTTAGAGGATTTTTAAGTTTGTGACCAGTATAAACAAAACAGTATCTGAGACGGGTCTCAATCAATTTATAGGTTTATTTTCCCAAAGCTTATGGCCTGTGACACAGCCTTAGGATGTCCTGCAAACATGTGCCCAGGGTGACAAGAATACACATTTAAATACTTTGGAGAGACAGAAATTACAGGGAAAGACATAAATCAATACATATAAGATTTACATTAGTTTGTCCTGGAAAGGTGGGATAGCTTGAAGTAGGGGCTTCCAGGTCATAGGTGGATTCAAAGATTTCCTGACTGCCAACTGGTTGAAAGAGTTAAGCTCTGCCTAAACACTTGAATTCATCATAAAGAAATGCTTGAGTTTAGAAAAGGGGGTGTGGAAGCAAAGGTTCTTGTCACCTAGATGAATCCTATGGGTAGCAAACAAAGTAGGTGGCTAATGTTGTTTATCAGACCTTAAAAAAAATGTCAGACTCTTTGGAAAAGACTTAGTAAGGGGAGGAGATTCTCTGCAGAATGCAAATTTCCCCCACAACAGGCAGCTTGCAGGGCCACTTCAGAATATGTCAAAGAAATACTTTTAGGGTAAAATATTTTGATTTTCTTCAGGGCCTATTATCTGTCGTGTTGGAGTATGGTATCTTATTGCTACAAAGCATCTGTTTTGTCAATCCAAAGATCTCTGTTGTAATGATAATGCTGGTCAGTTGTGTCTGAACTCCAAAGGAAGGACCATATAATGAGGTACATCTAAACCCACCTGCCAGTCATGGCCTAACCTAGTTTTTCAGATTTCTTTGAAGTTCTCTCTACCAAAAGAGGAGTCCGTTCAGCTGGTTAGTGGCTTACAACGTAATTTTTTGTTTTAACACACACACACAAAAAATCACCGCATAAATTCAATCTAAAATAGATTGGTTAAAAAAAAAATTGTGTGTTTCCTGAATATTCCTACATGTCAAAGAAAGGGAAATGATAAAAGAATTCAGATGAGAAATACCCCTCATACAAAAGATTAATGATTTTATTTACTATCTTAGTTTGGGTCCACCAGCAATGAGGATTCCTGTTTAGGCAGCAAATTTACACTGGGAGGAAAGGAAGAAAGTGAGGGAGGGAACAGAAGATGAATGGTAAAAGACACATCAACAACCCACCTGACTCAGGATAACTGAAGATCAACCACATGTGGAAACATGGACTAAATTCCTCTGGGCTATTCCACCTGAGAGACGAGGAAGCTAAGGTATGTATACACCTCATTCTGTCCTCACTGATTGTGAGCTGTCTCTCTTGTTCTCTTTCAAGCTGCTATAACAGGTTAGGTTCCTTGACACTGTGTAATTCATAAAGAACAGAAATTTATTTTCTCACATTTCTGGAGAATGGGAAATTTAAGATCAAGGCATGGGCAGGTTAAGGTCGTCTTTCTCTGCTTTCAAGATGACGCCTGGAGCTTTCAGTCCTTCAAAGGAACGAAGGCCATGTCTTAACATGACAGACCAGCAGAAGAGACAGAGAGATTCCAGCCCCATAAACCCTGTTTATAGTGGCATTAAGGTATTCCACTAGAGGGCTCCACCCTCATGATCTAACACATCTCAATAGGCCCCACCTGGCAATACCATTTCACTGAGATTTAACTTTACAACGATGGATTCTGGAGGACACAGTCAAACCATAGCACTTTCCTAAGAGATACACATTGCAGGCCATCTGGCCAGCAAGGCATGCAAGCAGACCTCTCTGCCCAAGATCATGAAGCACATAAGACATATATATAGCCATTGGAAATGAGCAGAGATACAGCAAAGGGAAAAGCCCTAGACTATAGATGGGGACTGCTACATTCATCATGGTACAGTTAACCCTTGAATAACTTGGGTTTGAAATTTGCAGATCCACTTATATTTTCTTCTGTGTGTCACCTGTGAGCAAGCGCTTAATAAGTACTAAATATATTTTCTCATTTTTAAGGTTTTCTCAATAACATTTTTTCTTTAGCATACTTTATTGGAAGAATAGAGTATATAATATGTATAACATAAAAAAGGGTTAATCAACTATTTATTTTATCATTAAGGCTTCCAGTCAAAAGTAATCTATTACTACATAACTTGGAGATGCAAAAGTTCTACACAGGTTTTCATCTGCACCAGTGGTCAGTGCCCCAACCTCCACGTTGTTGAGGGGACAACTGCTCTTTCAGTCTGTAGCCACATCTCTCTGGAACAGGATCTTGGCAGGTGGGTTGCAAGTAAAGGAATCCAGAAAATAACATCTCAAACTGTGCTGCATTTGTATGATGATTATATAAAACCAAAGGCATTTAGAAAGCAGGAAATGCACAGGGGGCTTTTCCTAAATATCCCCTACCTGCCTAAAAGCAAATTCTTCAGAAGGAAACCAATTTTTAAGAAAACTCTTCCTGAGAATTTTTATATCAAGGAAGATTAACACAAAAGAGGAATCAAAAATGGAAGAGACTCAAAGTTGATACTTTACCTAGGGAGGTGATTACCTGTTCTTTTGAGGATGCATTTCTATTCTCATCTATTCTCTCCAGGTTGCCTACATTTCCCAATTACCTCTTCCCTAGAAAGGAAACATAAACACCTGGATCTCATTGAGTTATCTGGGTAATCACCTTGCTATGATATCCTGCTGCACTTTAAGTGAATTTTGTTTGCCTTTTCTCTTATTAATCTTCCTTTTGTCAGTTTATTTTCAGCAAACATTTAGAGGACAAATGGAGCTTTCTTCCTTTCTTCCAATATAAGCAATTTCCCTTAAAATTCAGGCAGCTTATAAAGCAGCAGGAAGGTTTGTGCAGAGGCTACAGCACTGTGATTTGGCTCTCCTAGTCAGGCATCAGTAAAATTTTATGGAGTCCTAGGCTGCAGCCCACTGATGCTGATGTAGTTGGATCCACTTCCCCTCCCACGGAACCAGGCCGGGACATTTTTGGGCACATTAGAGATATGAGATATAACGAGTGCAAATCCCTGTCCAGTTTCATCTGGAACCAACTGATTTCTCCATGTACCTGGGCAGTTGCTTGATAAAAGATTGAGTGCCTCTTTCCAAAAGATGTTAACAGGGATCTTGGTGTCTGGGTCAGGATGATGTCCCTGATAAAAAGTAAAAGAAGAAAGTGTCACCTATGGTGCATGGCAGGGACATGCTCCATGCAGTGATCACCCTCACTAAGAGAGATGAATGTTGGGAAATAATACTTAATGGCAGAAAAGAAGGTAGACTATGAAGGTGCCCAAAACAGGAATAAGGTGCAAAACAGGAATAAGGTGCAGCCCATTTAGTCTCTGGATATTAAAGAGACCTAGAGCTCTTGATAATGGTGGATCTGTAATTGCTGCATGCATTGAGGAAACACGGTATCAACTTAGTGTATCTGAAGTAAATTGCTTGATCTTACAGTGGTAAGAACAATGGCATAACACCATTACCTAACATTTACAAATATATGTAGCATCATGTGAATAAATTTTATTTTTAATTTTTTTTTAGAAAGGAGCAATGTTAAACTCACAGAAATGTTGCAAGTATATGATAAGTACCACCTTCCCTAACAGAAATCACATGAGAGTCTTTTGAAGACCTGAAAATTGTAGGGTCTAAAATTTTACTATGTGTTTCCTACAAAAAAGAATATTCTCCTAAATAATCCCCATACACCAATGAAATACATTGCTCCATCGACTCCCAAGGAATATTTCAAATTGTCAAAAAGAAACCATAAAATGTTTCCCATAACAAAATAGTCCCCAGTAGAAACACATTCTCTGCAGACAAATTTGAGCTACCTTGATCTTACCTGGGACACGTGGGGACACTGAGCTGGTGCTGAGTTACTGAGATGCGCCAGCTCTGCAGCTGTGCCCAGCCTGCCCCATCCCCTGCTCATTTGCATGTTCCCAGAGCACAACCTCCTGCCCTGAAGCCTTATTAATAGGCTGGTCAGACTTTGTGCAGGAATCAGACCCAGTCAGGACACAGCATGGACATGAGAGTCCTCGCTCAGCTCCTGGGGCTCCTGCTGCTCTGTTTCCCAGGTAAGGATGGAGAACACTAGCAGTTTACTCAGCCCAGGGTGCTCAGTACTGCTTTACTATTCAGGGAAATTCTCTTACAACATGATTAATTGTGTGGACATTTGTTTTTATGTTTCCAATCTCAGGTGCCAGATGTGACATCCAGATGACCCAGTCTCCATCCTCACTGTCTGCATCTGTAGGAGACAGAGTCACCATCACTTGTCGGGCGAGTCAGGGCATTAGCAATTATTTAGCCTGGTTTCAGCAGAAACCAGGGAAAGCCCCTAAGTCCCTGATCTATGCTGCATCCAGTTTGCAAAGTGGGGTCCCATCAAAGTTCAGCGGCAGTGGATCTGGGACAGATTTCACTCTCACCATCAGCAGCCTGCAGCCTGAAGATTTTGCAACTTATTACTGCCAACAGTATAATAGTTACCCTCCCACAGTGTTACACACCCAAACATAAACCCCCAGGGAAGCAGATGTGTGAGGCTGGGCTGCCCCAGCAGCTTCTCCTGATGCCTCCATCAGCTGAGAGTGTTCCTCAGATGCAGCCACGCTCTGATGGTGTTGGTAGATGGGGACATGAAGTCACCTCTGCACCCTAATTCTTTTCTCTTTCTCAGCACCAACTGCACAGACATAGCAATGCTTCTCCTTATTTAATAAAAACAGAGATCATGACACCTGAGGAGTCTAGTTTATGGCTTCAGTTGGAAATCATAATGCAGAAGAAGCCACTATAGATATTCTAAGCAGGAATAGTCTTAATACAGAGAATTAGAATAAACTGCTGAAGTCTAAATAAAATGTAGAGATGAATCTCTAAATTTAATGTTTTATTTGAAGAGAAATATTTGCCAAATGAGGCATACAGGAAAACTCAGTGGTCTTCAGTACGTTGGAAGAACAAAGAAAAAGTCAGTGTTCCATGAAAAAGGGAAATATTACCTATTGCACTTTGAGAAAGTTCATTGGCACTAGGAAGGGTTGGGAGCTGGCAAGCTCAGACTGGTAAACAGTGGTGGACAAAGTGAATCCTAGAGTTATATCAAGTTATCTCAGAAATTGTGGATAAATTTGATTTCAGGTTACAATAAGCCAAAGCACTGAAGGTTGCAGAGAATTTTCTTACTGAAATACCAGGGACTTGGTGTAGATCCTGCAGCTCACCACACAGAAAGCCAATCTCGAAGACAACAAGTATTGCCAAGGAACAGGCTTTAATCAGGTGCTGCAGCCGAGGAGATGGGACGCCATTCTCAATTGTATCTCTCTGACAAAATTAATTAGGGGTTTATATAGGAGGGAAGAAATGTTGAAAACAGGAATTAGGGAGGGGTAAGGAAGATAATTTGGTCAAGAAGAAGCAGGAGGTCAGTTATGCAATCACAGTGGGTGAAGGTTCTGATGTCTCACTGTCCCAATTCAGTGATATGTAAGTTTCAGCTTCTTAATAGTATCTGGGAGGCCTGATGGTTGGTTTACTGAAAAAAAGGACTCAGGTAAGACAGATGTAACTATCTTGAGTTTTAAGACAGGGAGGGGGAGACAATTTCTAAGTTTATTCAAAAAACCATAAACCTTAGTTCCATGGGATAACAGGGCCTATTTCAATTGCATTCCAGCAGCAATATTTTGCACCCTGAGTGCCTTTCCCCACTAGGTTTCTTGGCTCTGTTGGGTATAACAAGAATGAACCAATGCCTATGATTAACGTTCAGACTACAGCCTTTCAAAGACAAGGATACAGTAGTCAGGAAAGTTGATATTAGAGGCAGGATTCTCTGGTTCTCCCTCAGAAAACAGAATGCATCCGCCCCTAAAGTAAGGGCTTTCTAACCATGTGGTCCTCAGTCCTGTCTGGAAGCTTAGGGGTAGGCGTGCTGATGCTCTTAGCTTCCTGCAACATCCTTCCAGGTGTTTCTCCAGTCCTCACCTCTGTCCTTGTACCTGTCTTAGTTACCAATGGATAATATTGAGTCTTCCTTTTCTGATTTCCAAATCTCACGGGAGGAACTCTTATTGGGCAACTCTATAGGACACAAGCACAGCAAAAAGGGATATTTACATAAGTTAAAATGATTTTTACCCCAATGAGTCCATTTAAATAAATTATATTTGAAGCCACATGTTGGAAACACATCCAGCTTTATTTTCTTATTAATGCAAATTTACATTTGCAAATATTTTCAGGATTGTAAAGTTTGAAAACATAATTATTTGTTCATGGAATGATCAAACCCTTCTATAATTAAATGGAGTAAACATTTTCTTGAAAATGTGTACTCACTGAAATAAAGGAATATATTTAAAATGTGTGAAGCTATGTTAGAAATTATTGGACTTAAATTCAACTGTGCAGTTTGATTTGGGATGTTGTTCACTCCTGTGACCTGCCACAAGAATCTTGTGTCATGTGTAGTCACTGCTGTTCAGCCTTGTCCTCAGACAATTCATATCTGTAGGCTGAAGGTGAGCTCAGTGCCCTGCAGAGGAACGACTCATCAGAGCCCTTCCTTGGTCAGCCAGAGGATTGTGAACGTGAGCATCCATGAACACGAAAACAAATGTTTACTGTTTTCTGTCACTGAGTTGTGTATTTAACCAGTAACCAATCATTATGCATAAAGGCTTCCTGATACGGTATTTACACCTCTACGTGTATATAAACATATGTATTTTTTTCTTAAATTGGTGGTATAAATGTGAATATTTAGTGATCAATTTATGAAGTTATTAAGAGAAAATTAAGAACAGAATTAAAACTAGTATTTCAATAAAAAATTAAAATTTACCTTATTTATGGAAAAATGTGCATATATATAAGATACATAGAAGTGAATATATATTTGTTTGATAAAATGTTGGCTACAAATATATATAGTATTCATATTTAAGCACATTTATTCTATTATGTATGCAATACTCTTGCTACAGAAAATTTATTTGTAGCCTTTATTTTTAAAACTTTACCAAATGGTTGTCCTTACCTAAAATATTTTTCCAACCCAGTAGAGCTCCGAGGGTAGGACTAGAGCAAATTTTGACTAATGTTGAATATTAACCATTGCATCCTATGAAAGTCTCCATTATGTTCATGCCCACAATGATGATAGGCCAAATAGAGTTCTCACAACAATGCACGCTGGATAGAGTCACATTAGTGTCATTGTCAAAGAAGCACTGGAAATGTAAAAATCCTAACCGTGGGTAAACTGCAATGGTTACATCTGATGATCCCATTGCAAGATAACAGCAGTTTAATAAATATTGGCTGTTGGTTTTGACAGATCATCAAGTCTTAAAATAAATGCAACAGGCTGATTTCAGACAAAGTCATTCTGCAAAAGCTATGACCAGACATTTCAAAAATGAGCCATAATAAAAAAAATGCTTTCCAAGTGAATATTAAGTGAAATGCCATTAACAAGCAGGGGCTTTTAATAATCAGGATGATTCAACACATGGACTTCAGTCAATCACCTTTCCCAGCTTCCCCAGGTAGCCTCATGAACCAATGTTAATAAGGTCCCTGTGGGGACTCAGTAATGTGAGTTTCAACTAACTGAGATGTACAGGGCTATTGGCTCTTCTGAACACCTAATTTGCCAAGAAAACTGATGCCTCTTGAACCCTTAACATTGTACCACACATCAGGGCTCAGACTAACAGCTGGTGTCAGGTGATTCTAGTGGACCTCATGCAACATGAGGAAGGCACTGGTTATTTGCAATATATGAATTTGCCTTCTTTTTCGGTTATGTTTCTGCATAAAATATTATTTGAGGATTTTCCAAGTGTTTTCATCAGAGTCAGGAATTTCTTCCATAATATGGCTTTGGATCAAGCAGTTTATTGACCTCAAAAAAAGTGAAGCAAAGTGTAGCTCATGATCTTGTCATGTGCACAGGTGCAGCTTACCCTATAGACAAAGAAAAACCCATTATTAGTCAAGCAACGCTGGCACACAAACTCTTGTGCTATTGCATTGTTATGCTGTCAGATGTGGTGGAGGCTCTGAAACACTGTTACTCTCATAAACAGAATATTTATATATTGAAAATGAGCTGTAGACTCATCATTGCTATGCCCACTGAACAGCTTGAAATACTCTATTTCTATTTTCTCAGGGCTGTGGTTTTCTGGCTGATGGTTCTTAATCCAAACAGTTGACATGACAATTATTGCATGAAATTGGAAGAAATGATATGATAAGCATGTGACCATTCAGACTCAATACAATACTGGATAAGTTGTCAACACAGGGCGTTCAGATGTGTGCTGGGGCCATAGATCTAGCCCATATAAAGCAAGAGCAAACATAATTGACTTTACATATTTTAGAGAGGAAGTACAGAAAATATGGACCCTAGGGGACCTTCTGGAATCTTTCTATTTATTGCCATTTCCACTGGTAAAACTCAGAGAAGATTTCAACAGTCATCAGGATGAAGTTCTAGGGATCACAGTCATGTGAAGCATTACTTGCACTTGGATCTCCAGTGAGGCAAAGGGAAGATGAAACACATCGTGGGATGTGGAGGGGTAAACACCAGAGACAGACACCTGGTCAGCTTCAACGTTGAAAAGTGTATTTATTTTTTCTCTTTAGTTTTATCACTGAATCATTTGGACCTAAGAAAAGCGATTATGGCTGGTTAGGCAGAAAGGTGTTTATTATCATGAATTAAATGGATTGAAAACATTTGGGGAAACCAGAGTGGAAGCTCAGGCAACTCCAAGTACTCCTTTTGCTATTGCTTGACCCTCCTCGCCTCCATATTTTCCACAGTCAAGAAAGATACTCCCATTTTATAGGAACCTGGCAAGTGAAGATATTGTGCCCACAGGACTGTGCTGCCTGGCTGTGACTCAGACCAGGAAAATGAGCACATTTGAGTGAGATCAGGCATTTCCCCTCCCTCATCTCAATCCAAAACGACTCTGTAGTAACACATCTGATGGGCAGTCAGAGAAAGGGGTCAGATTTCTAGCAGTTGATAGTTGATACCAGAGCTGCTGTCCTTCTGGGGGCAGTAGTGAGAAGAGCTGCTCTCTCTTCTGCTGCAAGAGACAGCTTGAATGTGGAGTCTCAGGCGCAGGAGATGCTCCCCCGACCTGTGCCAGCAGTACGATTCTTGGAATTGTTCTAGAGGCTTTGACTGGAGCCTGTTTTTTAAGGCTTTTCAACAATTTGTAAGGAATTTAATAACCTCTAGTAAATCCCTTTTTGCTTCATGGATTTGACATTTGCAACAGGGAATATACGCAGTCCGCAGTGACATCATTCACAGCCTCCTTTATTCTTGCTAAATATAATGCTTTCCAGGTGGACCTGCCAGAGGAAGCCGATATGAACAACAATCCATGTCACCAAAAATGCAAGACAAATAAGCTCGGGAAAGCCACTGGATTCTTACCTAGCTGCACTGTCCCCCTGAGTCTTTTTTTTTTTTTTTTTTTTTTTTTTTTTGGTCACCTTAGTCAAAAGCATGAACAAATTTGACAACTTTGAATGGAGCCCTTTGCAACGGTAGCCTTCGAATCTATTCAACAATACATGTCCAAGGCATTTCTTTAAGACCTTTAGAGCCTGCTTGCTCGATGTAAATCCAGGTGTCCACTATTTCTAGGCATGCTGACTGGAGTCTGTGGCAATGTAAAATTGTCACTGGGTGCACCAGACTTAGATTTTGGAGGCAAATGTTTCCTGAAGCAGCCACCATTTGTGCCTCTTTTGAATGGCAACTCCTTACTTGCTGTAGGAAACTGATAGGGCCTGAGTATCTCAGAGCTAGAGGACCAGGAGTGACACTGCTACCTTAACTACAGATTCTCACTTTGGTGCCTACAAACACAATCAATAAAACTGGACAGGCCCAACAGATCCAAATTACTAAATGGAAATGTTACAGTAAGAATCAGCCCTAACCAGGATGCCACAATACCCATGTGCCCCATAAACAAATGACAAGCTTGCAAGAAGGGAACAAATGACCCACAGGGGACAATTCAGCTTCTCCTTTGGCCACATAGAGTCAAAGATTCAAAGACATGCCTATGTCAATATGGCATGGGGCCCTGATGATTGTACAAAACACATGCCAGTGGGTCCACTGGGTGTGGCCACCATCCAGCCAGGGGATGGCATCTTTTGATTGACACTAAACATGGCCATTCTGCCCAATGGGCCAAACTACATACAATGATAGCAGCCATGCAGGCTGCCCCTAACACTATATTTTGCTCCATTTCCATTAAATCATGGGCCACTTTCAACAACCCAGTCATCTGGTCAGGAAAACAGCAACTGAGTGACTGAACTACTAAAGGATCCCCTGTGTGGAGAAAAGGACTATGGCAATAGCTTGCTTCCTGGACTGCTAAATATATGTCACTCTATTAGATGCTCGGGCTACCATGGCCACCCTTGAGAGGAATTTATGTCATATTTTGGATACTCCATGAGACTTCACTCTGACCAAGAAACAACCTCACTGCCCAATCAGCGTGACAATGGGCACATTCTCGTGGAACATAACGGATGTTCCATGTAATTACCAACACCCAACACTGCCTTCTGTACCTGGATAAACACCTCAGGTATCCTAGAAATATAAGTAGAGGTGATCCTGATGCAGGCTCAATGGCTGCAGACAATGGGGCATCTGAAAGATCCCCCTTTCACCTCTTTGGCATCTTAATTTCTTGATCATGGGATCCTAGACTAGGTCACTGCTTTTGGGGGTCTTATCCTCCTGCCAGTGGTAGTAGCCTTCCTTAGACCAGCGAAATGTACTCTCACTATGGCTTAATAATCTGCACTGAGATTGTGTAAATCAAGGTGCTTCGTCAATCTGAAAAGATAAACCTCTGCCTTCAGTTTGGGGGACATTGGTGGGTGTAGGAAATATGCTAGCTTTACTAAGGGGGATGTCTAGGTGGTGGGGTAACTGCAAGACAGTTCTCCAATGACCCTGGGCTGACTTAGTTCTCTCCACTTTCTTGATTATTTTAAGAGTTCTCAAGAATAATTGTAGAATGTGCTGGAATTGTAACATCCTGAGATAGAGAGGAACTGGCCAGAACAGCCTACCTGTGCTGTATTCCAGTTTCTCATAGAATGGAATGTCCTTAAGCACGTTAGCCCTGTGCGTCTCATTACCCCAGGATATAAAACCCAGAGTGTCTGCTTTTCCGGATTCCTGAGCTGTGATGCAAGCGGGGTACACACAGTCGACTCTATCAGCTCCACATAACTTTCGTATGCCTTGGGGGACAGATCCATAATGAGTCCAAGAGTTTTGTGATCCCTTGCTGCTTATCTGTAATAATAAACCCCCTTCATGTAACTTGCTGTGTGGGGGTGTTGTGTTCCTCGCGCTCAGGTACGTTGGTAACCAGTGTACAGTGAACCTGCTTCAAAGATGTCACTGACATAGAGGCAGAACTGGAATGGAGGTTGCTAGGGATAAGGATAGAGGAAACGGGGGGAGTATTGTTTAAGGGGTATAGATATTAGTTTTTATAAGACGAAAAGAATTCTGGAGACAGTATCGGTAATAATAGCAGAACATGTGAATATGCTTAATGCCACTGCACTGCACTTTTAAATATGGTTAAGATAGACAATTTTATGTTCTCTGTATTTTCTACAGTTAAATAATTGACATCTTTATTATAGTATTGTTAGCTCAGAAGACATTGCTTTATTTTGTAATTTTCTTAGCCAATTGTTCATAAATAATCACTTCGTGATGCCACTGTTCACAAATTGTGTGTGTGTGTGTGTGTGTGTGTGTACACATGTGGTTTCCCTATGTTGCCCAGGCTGGTATCAAATTCTTGGCCTTACGTGATCCTTCCTCCTTGGTCTCTCAAAGTGCTGAGATTACAGGTGTGAGCCCGAGCACCCTGCCATAAGAAACAATGTATAAGACATTTCATAGGGGACTTCTTCAAAATATATATTTCATTGCAGCCACATCCAAAGCCAATCTCCTAAGCCATGTTTCTGTACACAAGTGCACTTCTCCCTCTGTGATGTCACATCCCCTCAGCATAAAGTCACACAGACACATAGGAGAACAAGGCTAGGAGTCAACCCAACTTTATGAGTGGAAATCACTGCAAAAATCTGGCATTAATAGGTTTTAGGTGTTGCAGCACTTCTCCACTAGCAAAACACCCTCTGATTTGTCTTCCTGGATTGTTTTCTCAGAGGTTTCCTAATATTTAATGCTAAAGCTGAGATTAGAACCTTTTTATCCCTAGTCTAGCTGAATGCTATTTCACTCAAAATGTATTGTCTTAAGGAGTATGATAATAAATATTGGATAATGCCTGTTACTACTCCCAACATTCCCTTTAGATCTCCTGTTATCATCCTAAATATCATTACTTAGAAAAAGTGTTTAAAAGGGGTTAAGACAATATTGATCCTGTTTTCAATATCCTGATACAAGTCAAGCACCCACAAAAGTCAAGGAAATTGTAAGGAAAACATGACTTAATGATCATTAGCCATTCTGGTCACTGTTGAGTGATGATTAAGAAAAAGTCTTAAAAACAAGTAGCTGAAACATTGAGAACTCTCATCAATTCTGGGCTGAGATGTAAAATGGTATAACCACTTTGGAAAACAGTATGACAGAGTATTAAACACTTACTGTAAGACCCAGTAACTGCACTCCTAGGTATTTGCCTAAAAGAAATAAAGAAATATTCATGCAAAGCCTTGTATAATGCCATTCGTGGTAGCTTTATCCATAATAGCCCAAAGTGGAAACAACCCACATGGTCATCAGCAGGTGATGGGATACATTGTGAAATTACTACATATTTAAATAGTACTCAAAAGTAAAGAGTAACACATCACGAGGACACAAGGCGACATGAATGAGCCTAGGAAACAATTATGCTGCACGAAAGTCACCAGCCACAAAAGAACATGTGCTATATTCCTTTATGTGAAATTCTTAAAAAGATAGTGGAATCTATACTAACAATAAGCTGAATAAGGATGGTCTGTTCTGTGAGGTGGAAGCAAGTTGATTGCTGAAGAGCAGGACAAAACTTTTTGGAGTTACAGAAATGTTGTGTGTATTGATTTTGCTTCCAAGAATGTATTTATTTATTAAACCCAACAGTACACTTAAAATCAGTGTATTTGATTGGAATCTTTTTTTTCAATAAAATTGGTTAACAGTGAATAGTGAATAATTGCAAATCCAATTAAGTAACATTGTCTTCACATCTTTTATTCTTGCAGTGTCCTGGAAGCTATATGAGCCAAAAGTTATTTCTGGGAGATAATCTCAGCCTGACACTAAAGAACTGTGTATCTTCTGGCAAGAGCTCACTTTTCTAGGTATTTTTGGATTTTTCCAAGAATTTAAATATATTTCATAGGTTAAATCAAAATGGTAGGCTTTTAATACACATTTCTTATTTATATCAACTAAAATTCTAAGCAATAAAAAGTCATTAAAAATTGGTAAAGAATTTAAATGTGAAGAAATATTTTTTAAGTTAGGGGAAGAGATCCAACATACCTTATAGTTCATATACATTTTTCAGAAATTAAAATTACCTATCAAGAGTTTTTATAAAAACTGTAACACTTTTTACAATGTGTGTTCACTAAATGTGCAGATATACAGTGGGATTGCATTTTTCTTTTTTTCTTAAGATATTTATTTTTATATTCACAATGGATATCAGCCTTTAATTTCTTTGTTTTGTTATGTGCATATTAATTTTTGGACTACAGGACATTATGACCTCCTATAATAATTCTGAGAGTATTTTTTATTCACTTGAATCTTTGTGTAACTTTGATAAGTACCATGTCACTAACTACCAAATATAAAATTGGAGTTTTCTGTCTGGGTAAATTTTCATTACAGATTTCTTGTTACTTTTGAGGCAAGAGGTAGGCAGGACTCCGCTCAGGACCAGATGTGAGGCTGGCCAAAACAGGAACAGGGTTCTGAAAGGACCTCTCCATAAGACATACCCACCAGTGCCATGAGAGTTTACCATTGCCATAGAAACATCCAGAAGTCACAGCGCTTGCCATGGCAACACCTGGAAATTCCTGCCCCTGCCATAGCAACACCTGGAAGTTGGGGCAACACCACCCATTTTCTAGCTATTTCTGAACAACCTACCCCTTAATTATCACATGATTAAAAGTGGGTATAAATGTGACTGTAAAAATGCCCCTGGCTGCTACTCTCGGCCCTCTGCCTATGAATTACCCCTGCTCCGCAGGAGTAGTCACAGAGCTGTAACACTGCTGCCCCATCAATAAAGCTGTTTTCTTCTATTACTGGCTTACTCTTACATTCCTTCCTGAGCAAAGCTGAGGACTTGCCTTGCATCAATATTGAGCCAGCCACTCACCACTAGAGATGGTGAGAAGCAGCATTTGATGTGGCAGTAAGACAGTGGAAACAGCGGAGAAGCAAGACAGCAAGAGACAGCAAGAGATGGCACTTTATGAGAAGATGGACACAGTGATCAGCAATGGGCAAGACAGCTATTGGAGAAGTGGCAAGACAGCGATCAGTGAGAGAGGATGAGACGGTGATCAGCGCTACAGCGATCAAAGCTACAGTGTCTGTGTGTCTGTGTGACTTTATGCTGAGTTGTTAACATTGCAGAGCTATTAACACTAGCCAAAGGCTGTTTTAAGAACCATCATCTTTCCTGACAGGTGTTGGAGCTCTGGGGATGGGCAAGAGGCCACAGAGCCACTGCTTCATGCAGGCCAGCCGCTCCGTGCTCCAGTTCCCCCATAGGAGCCCAACCCATCCGAGCTGGGAAGCCTGGAGAGATCTTCATGCAGGCCCCATGTCAGACACTGCTTGGCCCCATTTTGGCTCCTGCACACCTGTAAGTGTCCCATCTATCCACCTGCCTATATAGATGATCCAGGAAATAAGGCCTTTGGCTAGATAGTCCATTTGAATTCCCCCATAGCACACCTGACTACATCCTCATTGTTCTTTCTCTTAGTCATTTCTCCTCTAATGCCATTTTATTTATCCATCAGCCATTTTATTTTATTTTCTGCCCCGAT
The DNA here is from genome assembly GCF_000001405.40 of Homo sapiens. Classification (NCBI taxonomy): domain Eukaryota; kingdom Metazoa; phylum Chordata; class Mammalia; order Primates; family Hominidae; genus Homo; species Homo sapiens. The sequence continues at coordinate 198,034 of NW_012132915.1, read as the reverse complement.
ATATGTGTTTGCTTTGCAGTTTTTTCTTTGGGTCCCTGCTAATTATGTTTGTGCAATTGTTTAAGGCAGGACACTTGGATGTAAGAATTCTCCTGTTCTGTTGACTCTAAGAAGCCAGAGTCACATTGTTTTATGGCCCCAACCAGGCCTTTGGGGCTCATTGTTGGCCACCCCACTGAGGCTCCAGGATTTTCTGCACTGGTCAGCCCCTGGATACTCCAGGGTTTCCTGGCATTTGGTGTGGGGACACTCATAGGCTGTTACTTGGGTATTCTGGGTTTTCAGCATTTGGTATTTTGGGCCACTATCTGGATGCTCCAGAGTTTTCACCCTTGACATTCCTCCTTGGATTGTGCATTGGAGGCTTGCCCTACAGGAATCTTGGTTTGCCTTTTCTTGTTTTCTGCCCTAAAGTTATCGTTTTCCATTACGGCATTTTGTTTTCTTATTGTCACCTTACTTACACTTTTTCTTCTACACTTTACTTAATAAAAATATTGCTTAAATCCCAGTGCGGTGGCTCACGCCTGTAATCCCAGCACTTTTGGAGGCCAAGATGGACGGATCATTTCAGGTCAGGAAGACCAGCCTGGCCAACACAGTGCAACCCTGTCTCTACTAAAAATACAAAAAAAAAAATGAGCTGGACGTAGTGACACACACCTGTAATCCCAGCTACTTGGGTGGCTGAGGCTTGAGAATCACTGGAACCCAGGAGGTGAATGTTGCAGTGAGCCAAGATTGCACCCACTGCACTCCTGCCTGGGTGACAGAGTGACAGTCTGTCTCAAATAATAAGCAATAGAAATTTAAAAATAAAAAATAAAAATACTGTTTGAGTCATATTTTGTTCACTAACAAATGCTTACAATCCATTTTCATAACGTCTGGCTACCTATATGTATACCTTCTATGCAGGAAGTGGAAATCTGAGATGAGAACAATGATGGCCCAGTCTCTTTCCCTCTTGTTGGACTTAGAAAAACTTCTATGTCCAGTAGAAATCCTTGTTAGACATGGGGACAATGGCGAGCATCACAGAGGACTTACCACTAGGGTGTCTATTAGGCTATTGGAGCAAATTCAAATTCAGCTTAAAGAAAAAGAAACTCATTTTCTATCACAACACTGCTTGGGTTCAACACAAATTAGAAAACCAAGAGACTTGTCTTAAACATGAGTCCATACATTATAACGCTATTTTACATTTAGACTTATTCTGTAAAAAAGAAGAAAAGTTGTCTCTTGTGTACATGCTTGTGTGGCCCTTTACTCCCTCCTGTTATTAGCTGGGTGTGGTGGCACATGCCTGTAATCCCATCTACTTGGGAGGCTAAGGCAGGAGAACCACTTGAACCAGGGAGATGGAGGTTACCGTGAGCCAAGATCGCACCACTGCACTACAGCCTGGGCGACAGAGCAAGATACTGTCAAAAAAAAAAATTGTAGCTTTGAATTTTAAACATCTATTTGACAAGAAATGCATAGTTCCTTCTCTTTAAAATAATGTAATGTTTCTTTCAAGAATAAGCTTGGTTTGATGCCTCTCTCCCCAACATGATAGAAGTGTAGCATAAATCTATGAAAAATTCCATTTCCCTGTGCCTACAACAACTACCTGGGATTGAAAACTTCTTCCCTTGCTCTAGTCCTTTCTTCTACACCTACTTCCACATCATCTGTGACTCAAAACAATACTTGTCAGGAAAGATCCCGGAAAGAGCAAAAAAGACTTCCTTAGAGGTGTCAGAGATTCCTATGCCACTATCTGTCATCTCTAGAAGGGGTTGTGAGTATGAGGAAGAGCAGAGCTTGTAAATTTTCTACTTGCTTTGACTTCCACTGTATTTCCTAACAACAACAACCACAGCAACACCCATAACATCACAGGACAAACTTCTAGTACTTCCAAGGCTTTAGTCTCAGTAAATCTTCTCTACCTCCATCACAGCAGCTAGAAGGTTTGATACTCATACAAATAGTACTGTAGCTTTCTGTTCATAATTGGAAAAATAGACAAGACCCAATGTAATACAGGCTTTCCTTCAGCCAGTTAGCGTTCAGTTTTTGGATCACCATTGCACACATATACCCAGCATATGTCTAATATATATGTAGAAATCCGTGAAGCAAGAGTTATAATAGCTTGTGTTTTCTATTGTATTGTATTTTCCTCTTATATCATCTTCTTCTTCGTTCATTAAAAAAAAACCGTTCAAGTAGGTCTAAATTAATTATTGGATCATAAGTAGATAAAATATTTTATTTCATAACACATTGACCCGATGAATATGTTTCTTTGCCAGACATAGTCCTCATTTCCAAGGTAACAAGCCTGAAAAAATTATACTGGAGCAAGTCAACAGGTAATGATGGTAGCTTTTCCTTATTGTCCTGGGGCAAGAATAAGACAAAAGATAACAGGGTAGAATAAAGATTGTGTAAGAAAGAAGGACAGCAACAGGACATGGGAACCTTTTATAGAGTAACATTTTGATAATGGATGATGAGAATTAATGAGTTAGACAGGGATGGGTGGGAATGATTGAAGGTGTGAGTACTTTAGCACAGATTAAGACCAAATCATTAGGATTTAAAGAGTTGTGTAGAGTTAGTGAAGGAAAAGCCTTAGAATTAAATTTGGCTGTGGATAAAACATTCTTGGATTAGACTGAAGACTCTTTTCTGTGCTAAGTAAGTATATTTATGATAATGATGATGACTGTAGTGCTGAATATTTAATAAATAAAAACAAAATTAATTGCCGCATACATAATGTCCTGAATACTATTGTAAATGTTTTATCTTATTTTCTTTAAACTGTCTACAGCACTATAAGGTAGGTACCAGTATTGTCACAGTTACACAGATATGGAAACCGAGACACAGGGAAGTTAAGTTACTTGATCAATTTCAAGCAATCGGCAAGCCATGGAGCATCTATGTCAGGGCTGCCAGGACATGTGACTGTAAACAGAAGTTTTTCACTTTTTAACTCAAAGAGGGTATGTGGCTGGGTTAATGGAAAGCTTCAGGACCCTCAGAAAACATTACTAACAAGCAAATGAAAGGTGTATCTGGAAGATTAAGTTTTAACAGACTCTTCATTTCCATCGATCCAATAATGCACTTAGGGAGATGACTGGGCATATTGAGGATAGGAAGAGAGAAGTGAAAACACAGCTTTTTATATTGTTCTTAACAGGCTTGTGCCAAACATCTTCTGGGTGGATTTAGGTGATTGAGGAGAAGAAAGACACAGGAGCGAAATTCTCTGAGCACAAGGGAGGAGTTCTACACTCAGACTGAGCCAACAGACTTTTCTGGCCTGACAACCAGGGCGGCGCAGGATGCTCAGTGCAGAGAGGAAGAAGCAGGTGGTCTTTGCAGCTGAAAGCTCAGCTCCCACCCCAGCTGCTTTGCATGTCCCTCCCAGCTGCCCTACCTTCCAGAGCCCATATCAATGCCTGGGTCAGAGCTCTGGGGAGGAACTGCTCAGTTAGGACCCAGACGGAACCATGGAAGCCCCAGCGCAGCTTCTCTTCCTCCTGCTACTCTGGCTCCCAGGTGAGGGGAATATGAGGTGGTTTTGCACATCAGTGAAAACTCCTGCCACCTCTGCTCAGCAAGAAATATAATTAAAATTCAATGTAGATCAACAATTTTGGCTCTACTTAAAGACAGTGGGTTTGATTTTGATTACATGAGTGCATTTCTGTTTTATTTCCAATTTCAGATACCACTGGAGAAATAGTGATGACGCAGTCTCCAGCCACCCTGTCTGTGTCTCCAGGGGAAAGAGCCACCCTCTCCTGCAGGGCCAGTCAGAGTGTTAGCAGCAACTTAGCCTGGTACCAGCAGAAACCTGGCCAGGCTCCCAGGCTCCTCATCTATGGTGCATCCACCAGGGCCACTGGTATCCCAGCCAGGTTCAGTGGCAGTGGGTCTGGGACAGAGTTCACTCTCACCATCAGCAGCCTGCAGTCTGAAGATTTTGCAGTTTATTACTGTCAGCAGTATAATAACTGGCCTCCCACAGTGATTCAACATGAAACAAAAACCTCAAGAAGACCATCAGTGTTTACTAGATTATACCAGCTGCTTCCTTTACAGACAGCTAGTGTGGTGGCCACTCAGTTTTAGCATCTCTGCTCTATTTGGCCATTTTGGAGCTCAAGTTCTCAAGTCCAAAATTACTTATGTTAGTCCATTACATCATACCATTTCAGTGTGGCTATTACATTCATTTAAACGCATTTCAGAAGGCATCTCTGTTTATGGCATCACAAAGAGTTTAATAAATCTGTGCAAGAATAAACAACAAACACACCTATAAATATAAAGTTGAAATATCAAAACTATTTCAGCACTCTGAAAATTGGCAAAGCATAAAATAATTAAGGATGCATATTCTTTATAGAAAAAAAAAGTACTAGTGCTTTGAGTAAGGACAGAAAATGTCTGTAGCCTTTTGCCTGTGACAGCACCCTTCTATTCCCAGCTCAGTCAATATGAATTGCAGAACTGGAGTTTTACCCATGTAAGGATAGCAAATAAAACTGGCAGCTTGCTGCCAAAGTGGGTGGACTTGAGTGAAGCCAAGGAGTGGGAAATAATTCTTCAGTGTTTCCAGCTAAACAGGGAGAACACCATAGGAAATGAACAGAAAAAGCCCACAGCCTTGCTAGTCCAAGATGATGCCTTGTTTGAGGCAAGTAGTACATCTGCTGATAGTAAATAGCAGATTCCTGGATAAGATAGACCCACATTGCTGAAATAATCTCTGCACATATTCCTAGTGACCTAGAAGTTATAGATATGAGTGATGAGAACTAGGAGTTTCCGGTGCAAAGTAAAACCAGAGGGAGGTAAGAACTAGCTGCATTTTGCATGCAGTTTGCTTTTTAAACTACACACAGATGGGTTGACAGAAGATAGATTTATAACCTCCAGATATTTGAGCAAAATGTCTCAGATCATTGGTGACCACTTCGCTATGCAGATACATGTGTAGTTCCTATAAAATCAAACTAAATATTAATATTAAGAACAGAAAGAAGCAGAGATATCTGTGGTCAAACGCCACATGAGATACAGATTTTTCTATATCTTGCATTGAAAATACATTTAATACATCTAATCCACTTAACATTATGCCTCAGCCTATCCTATCCTAAATATGCTCAGAACACTTACATTAGCTTACTGTTGGTCAACATTATCTTACACAAAGCTTATCTTACAATAAAGTGTTGAATACCTCATGTAATTTATTGAATACTATATTGAAAGAGAAAATAGAATAGTTGTGTAAATACTAGAATTTCTATTTCTACTTGAATGCATATCACATTCACACCATCTGAAAGTCAAAACATTATAACTCCAACTGTCATAAGTCAGGTACTATCAGTAAGTTCAGACAAGAAACTAAGAAGAAAATTAAAAAATGATCAGAAAAACAAAACAAATTCCAGGCCTGACATGGTGGCTCAAGCTTGTAATCCCAGTACTTTGGGAGGCTGATGCAGAAGGATTACTTGATGCCAGGAGTTCGAGACCAGGCTGGGTGGGCAAAATAGTGACACTCTTATCTTACAATTAAAAAAAAAAATAACAGAGAGTGGTGGCATGCCCTTATAGTCCCAGCTACTCAGGAGGATGAAGCTGCAGAACCTCTGGACCCCAAGAGGTTGAGGCTGCAGCAAGCTATGGTCACAGCACCACACTCCAGCCTGGGTGAAAAAGTAAGACCCTATTTCTAAAAAAGTTAAAATTAAAATAAAAAAGCCCAAAATCTAAAGACAGCTACTATAATATGCTATCAAAAATGTACAATTTTTAGTTTCACAACTTCTGGAAAAAAGCAGAGAAGTATGAACAATATTAAAGGAATAAAAATAAAGCAGCTACAATAATAACAACAGAAAATAGTCAATGAAAGCTAATTCTAACTTGTCCCAATTATTGGATTTAGCAAAGACTACAAAGCAGTTAATATGCAGATGTTCAAATAATTATGTTTAAATCTATGATCATTGACATAAAAAAGAAAATATTTAAAAAAAAAAAGAAGATTCGGCAAGTAGGGGCTCAAGAAAAGACATGGAAAATATAAAAAATGACCAAATTGGAACTCTAGAAATGAAAAGTACAATAAACCAATTTAAATATTTGTTAGCTAGGTCTAATAGCAAATTGAGATGGCAGAACAATCAGTTAACTTGAAAATAGAGGTATAGAAATTATTGAGTCTAAAGAAAAAGTTTAGAAAAAAAAGAAGACTTCAGAGATTTATAGCTCAGAGTGAAGAATACCAACAAATGTATAATAAGAGTCACAAAGGAGGAGAGAAAGAGAAAGTGGCTGAAGAAATCTTTGGAGAAATAATGACAAAAACTTTTCAAAAGTAATAAAAAATTCTTAGATGAAAAAATTCAATAAAAATCTTTTAGATAATCAATAGGAATTAATAACTGAACACATTATATTAAAATATTGAAAGACAAAGAGAAAATCTTCATTGCATCAAGAATGAAAGCAGATACTATATACAGAAAAACAACAACATAGCCATTGGCTGAGTTTTCATCAGGACCAATAGAGGCTAGAAGGAGTGAAATGTCATATTTAAATGCTGAAAGGAAAAAAAAAGGCAACCAGGAAATCTATATCCATCGAAAATACCCTTCAAATCTAAAGAAAAAGCAAAAAAATTATTTGATAAACAAAATACATTCATTCATAGCAGCTATGTCTCTTACAAGACATTTGAGAGAAAATCCTTCAGAATCACAGGAAATGACATAAGACAGGACCTTGAATCCTCTGAAAGAAATGAAGGCCTCAAAAGTTGTAAGGAGCAATACCAAGTCTAAAAAGATAAAAATACACTTAATGCTATTTATATAAAGTTTAAGACAGGAAAACCTAAATGATTGTATAGATGTCAGAAAGACAGTTAATTTTGCTGGGTGGGAGGGGTGATAACTGACAAAGATTGTCCATGAGGGAAGCACAAGGGAATGTGAAATATTCTATCATTCCATTTGGACAATGAATTACACAAAAACTGTATTCAGTTGAACATTCAAGATTTATGCACTTTACTCTGGCTACTTTATCAGTTGAAATAAAACTAATAAAAACCAAACCTAGACTCTTTCACATTTACCAGTAATCACAGCCAAGAGCCCAGACTAATTTGGATTATTATTATTATTATCACCACTTCAATACCCTTTCTTGACATTTACACTTTTTATCCAGCTACAGTTTCACAGCTCCACCTCCGGCCCATTCTTTTGGAAGACCCCATAGCCATAGGTTAGGTAACACCTATGGAAGACTCATAAATGACATGATTGATGGGTGTTTAGCAGAAAACAAGTAGTATGTATCACAGACTGTCCTATGCAGAGGGTACAATACACGTCAGTGAGAGAGTCCCACTAGCACAGAAAAGAAGTGTGAACTACACCTTCAGAATATGGTCCAGATTTTAGAGTTCATCAGATGAACACAGATCAAGGTGTCCTCTCATCTGGGTATGGGAAAGTGAAATGACTGCAGGTTCTCCCCAGATCAGTGGCCTCTGTCTTTGGAGACGTGTACATGAATCTCACATTTGTTCACATCCACAGTCACTTCCTGGCTTCACCCATAGCAATGATGGTCTGGCTTCGTTATTTAGGAACTCTGCACATAGGCTGTCAGTTACTAAAATGAAAATTAAAAACAGTGACTTTGGTTAAATGTATATCAGTAGGTACATCCTTGAGGGAAAAATGAGCAGAGGTGACATATTTTAATATCAAATAAAAAATCACAATCTTGTGACTCCTTTCTCTTCCCATATAATTCATGATGGTTGTACTGATATTTCAGAGTATCAAATGAGTCTTATATTTTCATCCCTATAGCTTTGTCCTTCTCCAACCTGAGCCCACATTTTGGCCATCCAGTGGCTTCCGAGCACACTTGTGAGATGATCACTGTCCAAACAGGATTGCTGGGATAACTCACAGGCAGCTCCATGCTGAGTCTCCCTTTGAACTCCCAGCATCACTGACCCTGAAGGAGTGTCCTCCTGTCATCCAAAGCACCCAGAGCACAGCCTGCCCTGTGGTGATTTCACTGCCCAACTCAAAACCTCATCACAGATTCCACTGGCTCAGAGACAAAGTCAGGTCCCAGGCAGAGGCTGGTGTGGGGGCCTAAAAAAACCCTCTTTTCATCAATCTTTCTGTTAGAAATTTCCAGGGATTTATAAGCTGAATTTCTATAATAGTTACTATCTTAAAAATAAAAGCTATTTGTAATATGAGAAACATAAAACATGGGAAATAATTAAAACCCACAAGAGCATCATATAGTCAGAGACTCAAAATTCACCTAATCTAATTCGGAGCTCCCTGCCTTATGGTCCATCTCCATGGTGTCTATGTGCTCCACCCTTATCAAATATATGTTCAAAGAATTATTTTAACCTATAATAAAAGACTGAAAAAGGAATTTGTAAAGACAATGATTCAACCAATAGAGGCTCTCAAACAGAGACAAAACTATGAAAACAAGCATACTGGGAAATCTAGAAATGAAAAGTACAACAACTCAATTGAAAAATGTATTAGATAGACTCAATAGCAATTTAAGATGACACAAGAATCAGTGAACTGAAAAACAAGTCAATAGAAATGGTCTCATATAAAGAAGGAAAAAATTATAAAGAAGAATGAATAAAACCTCAGACATTATAGGTCCATGTGTATAATACCAACAAATTTGTATTAGGAATCACAAAGGAGAAGACAGAAAGAGGCTAAAAATGTGTTCCCATCTTTATGCCCATGAATACCCCATGTTTAGCTCCCACTTATAAGTGAGAACATGTGGTTTTTGGTTTTTTGTTTCTGCATCTGTTCACTTAGGAAAATGGCCTCCAGCTGCATCCAAGTTTCTGCAAGGGCAAGATTTTGTTCTTATTTATGGCTGCATAGTATTCCATGGTGCATATATACCACAGTTTCTTTATTGAATCCCTGGTTGATGGGCACAATAGACATTGTGCTAGAAGGAACACAAAGGGAGAAAGGGCAGGGGCTGAAAAACTACCTATGGGTACAATGTTCACTAACTGGTTAATAATTTCTGTCATACCCCAAACCTCAGCATCATGCAAAATAACTTTGTAACATATCTGTACATGTATGGTTTGATTCTAAAATAAAAACTGAAAAAGAAAAAAATGGAGAAATAATGAAAAACATTTTTCACAATGATGAAACACATTAGTCTGTACATGAAAGTAACTCAGTGAAACCCTTCTAGGATAAGCACAATACAGTTCATAACAATACACATTATAGTACCAATGTTGAAAGACAAAGACACAGAGAATTTGGAAGGCATCACTAAAATACTGACTTACTCTATACTAGGAAGCAATAATAAAGGTATTGGCTAAATTTTCATCATTACTAATAGAGGTGGGATGAGAGTGGAATGATATATTTAAATGCTGGGGGAGAAAAGTCAGCCACAAATGCTATATCCAGCAAAACAATCATTTAAACATAAAAGCAAGGTAGAAATGTTCCTTCATACACAAAGACTAATTCATTATAGCATATGTGCCTTGTGGAAAATTCAAGAGAAAATCCTTCAGAATAACAGGGAATGAGAGCAGACAGCAATTCAAATTGATAAGAAGGAATCAAGCCCTCAAAAAATGAAAGAAATAAGAAAGAAGCTACAAAAAATGTTTACCTGATATGAAGATTAAGTACAGGAAAAAAAAACAATTATAATAGATGTCACAGTATCAGTTACATTGATTGTGTTTTGAGCAGCAGTTGCTGACTGGGAAGGTGCATAATGAAAGCAGCAAGAGAATTGGAAACCTTCCATATTTTGATGTGGATCATGACATGAAATGATCTGGATTTTGACATTCATTTGCACCCTTAAGATTTGAACCTTTTGCACTGTGTGTTTTTCCTTAAATAAAATAAAATAAAACAAACCTAGGCTCTTTTAAATAAGCCTGAACCAAGAAATAAGAATCACCAAATATTTATGAAAGCTCAACCTTATTAAAGAGAAGTGTAAAACATGCCTGAGAAAGTCCTAACGAACTAGAAATTGGGTAGAGGAAATAGCAGGAAACATCTAAATATGTCCCTTCTGCCACTCAGGAAACAGATTTTACCTCTCTTGATATCCTTAAAAACATAAAATATATTTATGTCATTTTGCTCACAAGAGAGGTCCCCACCTTCTCCTTGGCTCTTTCCACCCCACTGCACCCACCAGGGGATTTGCATACTGTCCCCTAGGGAAGACCTTCCCTTGTGAGTCTGAGATAAAAGCTCAGCTCTAACCTTGCCTTGACTGATCAGGACTCCTCAGTTCACCTTCCCACAGTGAGGCTCCCTGCTCAGCTCCCAGGGCTGCTAATGCACTGGGTCCCTGCTGAGAGCAGAAGGGAAATGAGGGAGGATGATGGGGTGGGAGGGTGAACTCTGTGGGCCCTGCCACCTCCCATGTGTGTTCTGTCCTCGTGTTAGATGTGTCTTGTCCTCCAGGATGGGGCATGTGATGTCTAGATCTGTGAGAGTGAGGAAGATTCCAGAAGGAGCAAGGACATGTACTTTAGTGAAAGCTGTGACACAGAAAGAGGGGGATGGGATAGGTGACTTCTAGAGGCTTATTTGTGCTTTGCAAATCTTGGTTCTTTTTAAACCTGTATGTTTTGGGAGTATTAACCAAAATCATACACAAAAAATAATTGAGCAAAACATAAATAACAGACAGAAAATTATTAAAATGGCTCACAATGTTTGTACATAACCTTGCACTTCTCTCTTATTATTTCAGGATCCAATGGAGATGCTGTGTGACCCAGCCTCTACTCTCCCTGCCCGTCACCCCTGGAAAGCCAGCCTCTATCTCCTGTAGATCCAGTCATAGCCCCTTTCACAGTAATGGATACACCTATTTGAATTGGGACCTACAGAAGCCAGGCCAGCCTCCACGGCTCCTGATTGATTTGGTTTCCAACAGGGACCCTGGAGTCCCAGACAGGTTCAGTGGCAGTGGGTCGGGGACAGATTTCATGTTTAAAATAAGGAGGATGGATGCTGAGGATGTTGGGGTTTATTGCTGCCAGCAAAGTACACATTATTCTCCCACAATGGTACAGTCCTGAACACAAACCTCCCTGCTTGCTGTGGCCTAGCTGCCCAGATGTGTTGTTTCTGTGGAGAGCAGGCACTGTGGATTCTCTTAGATGCCTAAAGACCAAGATGTTGGAGAACTCAGAGGACTTGGTACAGCTGAGGGCTCATGACCATAAATTTCTCAGCTACACCTCAGGCACCACATTTTAAGTTCCCATCAGCTGCAGCGGCCTTTGCATGACAGAGTCTGCAAAAAGGAGGAGGTACACCTCCCCTTTGAGCAATGAGACACGAGAGAAGAGAAAGCTCAATGAAAGCTCATTCTAAGCCTCTCTTCCTTCCCTACATTCATTCATCAAGTAAATTCGTTCTGCGTAACAGGCACCTAATTGAGACTGATTACTGGCAACGCAAAACTAATACATTCTTTTGATTTGGTTTAGCAGTTACTAGAGTATATGTATGTTGATAAGGTTTGGTAATATTAAAACAGTTTCCCTCCCCTCCTCCACCTCCCCCCACCACTTTTCCGAAGGCAGACCCCTGACCAGGACACCAGCAGGCACTGTATTTTTTCCTACTTTTTTCAGGGAGTACCAAAATATAACTCTTCACGGTCTAGATTTTTAAGTTACTAGATATGTTGCTGCAAATGTATGCAAAAATAAAGACCTAGTGCCAAAAGTCTTTCCACAGTCTCAACCACAGCATGTTGAAGTAAAAAGTAGTTTTCTGAACTCCAAAGCTGGGTTTCAACAATAAGGACCAAGTTTGAAAGAATAAAGGAACATAAGTATGCCATCTTAAACAGAATTACAAGATAATATGTAAGCCATATTTTTACCCCATGAAAAATAACCATCTGAAGACTTGGAGCAGAGGTCAGTACGTGAGAGACTGGTGGGTTGCGTTTGAGATATGAACCCAGATGCAAGTTCTTATGTATTTCCTGGGAAGAATCACAGAGTCGAGAGACCCCTGCCTGGCATTCAAGGCTGGGCCCTGATGCCACTGCAAGCTCCTGAGGAAGTGCTGCATCACACAGAGCTCTAGGTCTGTGTGGTGACTCAAAGGTTACCTTAGGTCATATCACACATTCCAGGTCAACCCAGCAGGAAATAGATGATCTTCCGAAGGTTGATTCTGCTTGTGTCACTTACCTAGAAATAATTTGAGAGAGAAATTTTAATACACTATATGTGTATTAGGCATTAATAAGTTGAGGATATCTTCTGTATAATAATCTTGCATATTTAGCAAGTTAATATAAGAAAAAATCTATAATTAAACTAATTCAAATGAAAGCATGAATCAAGAAAATCAGAGGAAACAAGACGGTAGGTTTAACCCTAACTTTACAATAATTGCATCGTAAATAAACAAATTTTTCCAAGTAAATCATAAAATTATCAGACAGGATTAAAATCAAAGATGTATGTTAATCATTAAATACACACTATAGTAAGAATATAGAATGGCTTTGAAAATGAAAGGATGAAAAGTACATATCATGTAAAACTGAGCAACAGAAACTAGGTCATGACTTTAACGCAAGAGATAAAATGGACATTTTATAATTATAAATTGGTAAATCCATCAAGAAGCCATTAAAATTCTAAATCTGTCTGAATCCTGTATTAGTCTGTTTTCACCCTGCTGAAACAGACATACCTGAGACTGGGAAATTTACAAAAAAAGAGGTTTAATGGACTTACGATTCCATAAGCTGGGGGGGCCTCTCAACCATGGCAGAAGGAGGAGCAAGTCACATCTTAACGTGGATGGTGGCAGGCAAAGAGAGAGAGCTTGTGCAGGGGAACTCCTCTTTATAAAACCATCAGATCTCATGAGACTTACTCACTATCATAAGAACAGCATAGAGAAGACCTGCCCTCCTGATTCAATTACCAACCACCGGGTACCTCCCACAACCTGTGAGAATTCAAGATGGGATTTGGTTGGGGACACAGCCAAACCATATCACTCTGCCCCTGGCCCCTCACAAATATCATGTCCTCACATTTCAAAACCAATCATGCCTTTCCAGCAGTCCCCCATAGTCTCAACTCATCTCAACATTAACTCAAAAGTTCACAGTCCAAAGTCTTATCTGAGACAAGGTAAGACCCTTCAACCTATGAGCCTGTAAGACCAAAAGAATGATAGTTACTTCCTAGGCCCAATTGTGGGTACAGGCATTGGGTTAATACAGCTGTTCCAAATGGGAGAAATTGGCCAAAACAAAGGGACTACAGACCCCAGACAAGTCTGAAATCCAGGAGGGCAGTTAAACCTAAAGTTCCAAAATGGTCTCCTTTGACTCCATGTCTCATATCCAGGTCGCACTGATTCAAGAAGTGAGTTTCTGTGGACTTGACTAACTCTGTCCCTGTAGGTTTGCAGAGTACAGCCTCCCTCCTGGCTGCTTGCAAGGGCTGGCGTTGAGCATCTGTGGCTTTTCCAGGTGAACGGTGTAAGTTGTCAGTGGATCTACCATTCTGGGATCTGGAGGACAGTGCCCCTCTTCTCACAGCTCCACTAAGCAGTGCCCCAGTAGGGGCTCAGTGTGGTGGCTCCAACCCCACATTTCCCTTCGGCACTGCCCTAGCAGTGCTCCATGGCACCCCACCCCTGCAGCAAACTTCTTGCCTGGGCATCCAGGTGTTTCCATACATCCTCTGAAATCTAGGCGAAGGTTTCCCAACCCCAATTCTTGACTTCTGTGCACCTGCAGGCTCAATACCACGTGGAAGCTGCCAAGGCTTGGGGCCTCTGAAGCCACAGCCTGAGCTCTACATTGGCCCCTTTTGGCCATGGCTGGAAGAGCTGGGACACAGGCCAACAAGTCCTTAGTCTGCACACAGCATGAAGGCCCTGGGCCTGGATCACAAAACCACTTTTTCCTCCCAGGCCTCTGGGCCTGTGATGGGAGGGGCAGCCATGAAGACCTCTGACATGCCCTGGAGACATTTTCCCCATTGTCTTGAGGATTAACAACATTGGGCTCCTCATTACTTTTTTAAATTTCTGCTGCTGGCCTGAATTTCTCCTCAGAAATGGGATTTCCTTTTCTATCACATTGGCAGGCTGCAAATTGTCTGGACATTTATGCTCTGCTTATCTTATGTAACTGAATGCCTTTAAAAGCACCTGAGTCATTTCTTGAATGCTTTGCTGCTTAGAACTTTCTCCCACCAGATACCCTAAATCATCTCTCTCAAATTCAAAGTTCCACCAATCTGTAGGGCAGGAGCAAAATGTCACCAATCTCTTTGCTAAAACATAACAAGAATAACCTTTGCTCCAGCTCCCAACAAGTTCCTCATCTTCATCTGAGACCACCTCAGCCTGGATTTCATTGTCCATATCATTATCAGCATTTTGGTCAAAGCCATTTAACAACTCTTTAGGGAGTTTCAAACTTTCCCACATTTTCCTGTCTTCTTCTGAGCCCTCCAAACTGTTCCAACCTCTGCCTGTTACCCAGCTCCAAAGTCATTTCCACATTTTTGGGTATCTTTTCAATAGCGGCCCACTCTCCTGGTGCCAATTGACTGTATTTGCCCATTTTCATGCTTCTAATAAAGACATATCCGAGACTGGGCAATTTACCAAAAAAAAGAGGTTTAATTAAGTTACACTTCCATATGGCTGGGGAGGCCTCACGGCCATGGCAGAAGGCAAAAAGTAGCAAGACACAACTTACGTGGATGGCAAAAGGCAAAGAGAGAGAGCTTGTGCAGAACTCCTCTTCATAAAACCATCAGATCTCAAGAGACTTATTCCCTATCATGGGACAAACACAGGAAAGACTTGCCCTGAGTATTATGAACAATGTCACATCGGTGGTGATATTGGGAGCAATTTCATCCTCTCCACCACAGGGTACTAGGAACAATATCACAAAAGAGGAGTAAATCACCCCTGATATGGAGAATAATATTATCTTCTCCACCACAGGGTATTACAAACAATATTACAGAGGGGGTACACTGCATGTGATATTAGGAGTTATATCATCCTCTCCCTGCCTGGGTATTACGAACAACAACATCATGCTGGGCCAGGGTACAATGCCAAGATATTGGGAGTAATATCATCCTGGCAGCCCTGTGTATTACAAACAATATCATGGCAGGGAGTACGCCACCTGCAATACTAGGAGTAAGATCATCCTCTCCCTCCCAGATATTACAAAAAATGTCACAAGAGGGTGTACACCCCCCACAATATTGGGAGTAATATCATACTCTCCCCTCCTGGATATTACAAACAATAGGACAGGGGCGTGTATACACAAAAAGTTTATGATATTGAAAGTAATATCATCTCCAATCACCCCTGGATATTATGAACAATATCACAGGGAGGTGTACACTCCCTGAGATATTGGGAATAATATCAACCCCTCCTCCCCTGGATATTAGGAACAATGTCACAGGGGTATGTACAACCCCGTGGTATTGGGCGTAATATCATCCTCTCCCCACCTGGATATTATGAACGATATTACAGGGGGGTGTACACAAAAGGTGTTTACGATGTTTAAAGTAATATCATCTCAAATCCCCCCGGATATTAAAAACAATATCACAGGGGGATTTTACACCCCCCACTATATTGGGAGTAATATCATCCTCTCCCCTCCAAATGTTACAAACAATATCAAAAGGGGGTGTACATTCCCCACAATATTGGAAGTAATGTCATCTCCCCCCGATTATTACCAAGAATATCACAGGGGGGGCACACCCCCCACGATATTGGGCATAATATCATCCTCTCCCCTCTCTGGATATTATGAACAATATCACATGGTGGTGTACACTCCCCGCAATATTGGGAGTATTATCATCCTCTCCCCCTCTGAATATTACGAACAATATCACAGGCGGGTGTACACACAAGGTGTCAACGATATTGAAACTAACATCACCTCCAATCCCCCCCTGGATATTACAAACAATATCACAGGGGGGTGTACACTCCCGGCGATATTGGGAGTAACATCATCCTCTCTCCCACTTCATATTACGACAATATCACAGTGGGTTGTACACCCCCCGCAAAATTGGGAGTAATATCATCCTCTGCCCCCCTGGATATTATGAAAAATATCACAGGGACGTGTACACTTCCCGAGATGTTGGGAGTAATATTATCCTTTCCCCCACTGGATATTAGGAACAATATCACAGGGGGGTGTACACACAAGGTGTTTACGATATTGAAAGTAATATCATCTCCAACCATCCCTGGATACAATGAACAATATCACAGAAGGGTGTACACCCCCCGCAGTGTTATGATTAATATCATCCTTCCCCCCTGAATATTAAGAAAAATATTACAGTGGGGTGAACATCCCCGGCAATATTGGGAGTAATGTCATCCTATTCCCCGCTGGATATTGCGAACAGTATCACAGGGGGCTGTGCATGCCCCGCGATGTTGGGAGTAATTTCCTCCTGTCTCTCCCAAGATGTTATGAACAATATCACAGAGGCGTGCACTCCCCCGCGATACTGGGAGTAATATCATCCTCTTAAC
Organism: Homo sapiens; assembly: GCF_000001405.40. Classification (NCBI taxonomy): domain Eukaryota; kingdom Metazoa; phylum Chordata; class Mammalia; order Primates; family Hominidae; genus Homo; species Homo sapiens. Next base: position 181,304 of record NW_012132915.1, on the reverse strand, counting down.
TCCTTAACGAACAATATTACAGGGGTGTGTAAAGCCACCGAGATATTGCCAGTAATATCATCCTCTCCCACCCTGGATATTATGGACAATACCAAAGGAGGGTGTACACACAAGTTGCTTACGATATTGAAAGTAATACATCTCCTCTCCCCCACTGGACATTATGAACAATATCACGGGGGGTGTACACCCTCCGTGATACTGGGAGTAATATCATACTCTCCTCTCCCGGATATTACGAACAATATCACAGGGGGGTGTACACACAACGTGTTTACGATATCGAAAGTAATATCATCTCCTCTCTCTCCCTGGATATTATGAACAATATCGTGGGGTGGGGGGGTGTACACACAACGTGTTTACGATATTTAAAGTAACGTCATCCTCTCCCCCCCACCCCGAATATTACGAACAATATCACAGGGGGGTGTACACACAATGTGTTTACGATTTTGGAAGTAATACCATCTTCCCTTCCCCCACGGATATTACGAACAATATCACAAGGGGGCGTGTACAGCCCGGGCGATATTGGGAGTAATATCGTCCTCTCCCCTCCTGGATATTATGAACAATATCACAAGTTGGGGGTGTACACTCCCCACGATATTGGGAGTAATATCTTCCTCTCTCCCTGGATATTACGAACAATATCACAAGGGGGTTGTACACTCCCCGCAATACTGGGGGTAATGGCGTCCTCTCCAACCCTGGATATTACGAACAATATCAAAATAAGGGGTGTACACCCCCCACGATATTGGGAGTAATATTGTCGTCTCCCCCCAGGATATTATGAATAATATCACAAGAGGGGTGTACACCCCCCACGATATTGGGAATAATATAGTCCTATCCACCCCCCTGCCGGATATTATGAAGAATCTCACAAGGGAGGGTGTAAACCCCCCACGATATTGGTAGTAACGTCATCCTGTTTTCCCCCTGGATATTAAGAACAATAACACAAAGAGGGGTGTACACCTCCCGCAATATTGGGAGTACTATTGTCCTCTCCCCGCTCTGGATATTACCAACAATATCACTATCTTGACTAGTGGTTTTGACAGATCATCAGGCCTTAGAAGAAACACATCTGAAGGATTGGACACAAAGTCACTCTGGAGGAGATATGACTGGACCTTCCAAAAAAGGACCAGTAGAAAAAATAAATCCTTTCCAAGTGAATATTTATCTAAAGGCCATTAGAAGCAGGAGCTCAAAATAATTAAAATAATTCAAAACATGGACTTCATCAGTTACCTTTCCCAGCTTTCCCAGGGAATCTCATGAACTGATGTCATGACTATCCATGCATGGGCTTAACAATATGAATTTCAGTTAACTGGGACTCATGGGGATACTGGCACTTCTGAGCATCCACTTTTCCAAGGAGAATAACCCAAGATTGTACCAGACATCAAGGATCAGACTAACAGCTGGTGTCAGGTGTTTTTAGCAGGCCTCATCCAACATGAGAAGAGCAGCAGTTGTTTTCCTGTATATGCATTTGTCTTTCTTTCAGTTATATTTCTGCATGAAATATTATTTGAGGATTTTCCAAGTGCTTTCATCACAGTTAAGAAATTCTTCCATAATATGGCATTGAATCGGGCAAATTATTTACAACAAAAAAGTAAGGCAAAGGGTGCAGTTCATGATCTTATCACCTGCACAGGTGCAGCCGTCTCTATAGAAAGGAGAAAACATATTCTTAGTCAAGCAAAACTGACACACAAACCCTAGGTAATTGAATTGATACCCTATCAGATGTGGTGAAGGTTCTGACACGCTAATCATGTATGATGCTGTAACTTCCATCAAGGAATATATGTATAGTGAAAGTGAGCTGTGTACTCATAGTTAATTATTATGCCAACTGAACAGCTGGAAACATTGGTCGCTGTGGCACCCACTGAATAAAAGGAGACTCAGTGGCAGGTAGGCCCCTTTGCGAATGGGAGACGGCATAAACCTCACCTGGGTGTTCTTTTGGTTCCCTTAGTCAAAATCATGAACAAAGTTGCCAACTTTGAAAAAGGCGTTTTGCAACAGTAGCCTTGGAATCTGTTCAACAAGGCCTGGCCCAGTCACTTCTCTAAGATTTTTACAGCCTGCTAACCAGATGGAAGTCCAGGTATCCACAACCTCTATGCATACTCAGTGGAGCGTATAGCAACAGAAAACTATCAATGAGTGCACCAGCCTCTCAATCTTAGGACACATAAGTTGCCTGAATCAGCCACTGAATGTGTTTATATTGAATGGCAACTCCTTGCTTGCTATTAGGCACTGATGGAGACTGAACATGTTAAGGCTTCAGCACCATGTGTGACTGTGACACTGGTCCCTTAGCTGTCCATTCTCACTTAGATACTTACAAACACCATTAGTAAAACTGAACAATCTGAACAGAGCCATGTTATCAAATGGAAATGGCACATTCTTGATCAGGTTTAGTCAGGACCCCACAGGATCTGTGGCTCCATGAACAAATGGGGAGCTTGCTAGAAGGGACCAAATAACTTGTAGGTGATAATTTGGCTCTTTATTTGCCCATGTGGAGCCCAAGATTCAGAGATTTCCATATGGCAGGAGTCACTGAAGGCTGAGCAAAATGCTAACTGACAGATCCACTAGGTGTGGCCACCATTCAGCCAGTGGATGGCCACTTTTTTAACTGAAACTTAACATGGGCTTTCTACCCAGTGGGCAAAACTACATTCAGTGGTAATGGCCATGCAGGCTGTCCCAACAACGCACCATGCCACATATCCACTAAATCCTCGGCCATTGTCAACAGCCTTGCCATCTGTTCAGGAAAATGGCAACTGAGAGACTGGACTATTAAAGAATCCCCAGTGTGAAGGAAAGGACTATGGCCACAGCTTTCCACCTGCAGGAAAAAGAAATATGATGCTGAATTTGATGCTGGGACTACCTAGGTAACCCTTGAGTGCAATTTATGTCATATTTTTGGATACTCCATGAGACTTCTCACTCACAAAGGAGCATCTTTCACTGCCCAAGCAACGTGACAATAGGCACACTCTCATGGAACACGATGAACTTTCCATGCACCCTGCATCCACAGGCCAATGATCCTAGTGAATGCTAGATCAGTGGAATCACACAGCAATATGCAGAAAGGACATCTACAAAGTCTGTTAATGGGGTGGTATCCCATCTGACTAGAGAAATATGTACATTAAAGATCCTGGGCCACAAAAAGGGAAATAGTGCATGTTGAGAAACACAGAGCTGGGTGGAAGTAAAGGTAGGCCAGGCAGACACTTATATTAGTCTGGACCTGTGAAAGCTATTTCAGTGTTCCTAACCATTCCTTTTCTTTTTTTCCTTTAGAATACATGCTCTGGGGTGGTTTGCAATCTAGGCCATTACAATGCCCCAGACAGGCCCCCTAACTCTAATAGGAGGATTATGTTTCCTCTGGGTGCTTCCTTTCTACAAGATCCCACAGTGATGGATAACAAGACTAAGAAATATCACGGAGCTAGGGGCCCTCTTCTGGTGCCAGGGACATCTTATCCTCCCTTTAGTGTTGGTGATATTATGAAATATGTCCAGTTTTTACAGGGCAGAATCTCCCTTCCTGGAGTGGACAATCAGGACTGAAATATCTGGATCAAGTGACAAAGGCAATGGATTGTTCACAGAGCAAGGACAGCCAGACCGCATTCCTACACCAACACGGCCCAACCCTTGTAGATGGGTAGGGGACACCTGAGACCCTGGGATGGGTGAGAGACGATGCATTAACCTGTGAGGCTGCATTTTGACAAGAATGAGGCAGCAAAGGCCTAGAAGCACAATGTCTTTGTTAGCTTCTTTTAGGTCACCAGGGTGATCTTTCAAAATAGTGAATCTCCCATTCTTGACCTCATTCTGTCATTAACTAGAGGTTCCCTTTCATTCTACCAAGGGTAAATTACACCAACATTCCTAATACTAAGGTGTACATCAAAAGGACCCAAGCACTGGCCCACAAAGTGAGAATCTGACACCTGCCACATGGGAGGAAACTGGAGGACCCCTGTTTAACTTAATTGCCTCTGGCGAATGTCATGACCACAATTAAAAAAAACATTGGTGGACTAATATTTTGATGCACCATACTTTTTTGATTGCATAGATGAGAAACATCCCAATGGCAATGATAAAAACAAGGACTGGACTAATGCTAGCCCTCTGTCTACAGACAATATTGTATGAGCAAAACTTTGCTCATGCAACTCTACTATCAGTGAGACTTGGCTAATGAACGCACCAATACCAGCATAACCATGACAGAGTGATTGAAGAAAAATGGGAAAAGGGGGGCTGTATGCACCCAAGGGCTACATCTTTCTCTGTAAGCGGTTTGGGAGTGACCAAAATGCAGGATATGTGATGCCATCTCTGGATATCTGTGGAATAGTGAGATCCTGCATGTTGGGCATGCTGGGGTTGTCTCTGGATATTGCTCCTTGGAATTAGGTAAATCATAGAGCCTGAAGCCCAAAGCTGTACCTCAGACTTACTAGGGACCTACCAGAAGGTACAACAGATGATAGGTTTATGTCTTTTATGATATTTTTGGTACTATGTATAGGAGTCAGTGCTCATGAAAAAAAGTGAAATGATAAGGAACTTGTCCCTGACCATGGCAGATATTGCTCCTCCTCCATAGCCACTGCCTTGGTAACCCAGCAGACATCCCTTAACTCCATCGGGATGGATGTTTAAGATAACAGTGTTGCTCTAGACCTTTAAAAAATCCCAACTGGGAGGAATGTATACAATTTCCAATACCCCCTGCTATACCTGGATAAACACCTCAGGTATCCTAGAAATTCAAGTAGAGGAGATCTGGAAACAAGCTCATAATTGCAGAAAATGGATTCTGCAGATTCAGAAAATCCCACCTGAAGGATTCTTCTTTCACCCCTTTAGCAACTTCTTCTGTGGATCATGGGATCCTGGGCTACATAACTGCTTCAGGTGGGCCTGATCATTCTGCCTCTGGTAGTAGTTTTCATTGGCCCAGTGAAATCTTTTCTGGCTCTGTCTCAATGATGTTGCTTTGAGATTGTGTCAGTCAAGGTGCTTCATCCGTCTGACAAGACACACCTGTGCCTCCAGTTCACGGTGGTTGGTAGGCGTATAAAATGGAATAGCTTTCTACGGAGGATGTCTGTGTTGGGGGACGACTTCACTCCAGTCCTCTGATGGTCCTGGACTCACTTGATTTTCCCCACTCTCTTTCTTACACTTCTCAATAATAATTGTAGAATGTGCTGGAAATGTAACATTCTGAAATAGCGAGGGACAGGTCAGAACAGACTGGCTTCTGATCCAGCTCCCTCTAGTACTGTCCTCCTGTACTTAAGTCCTCCAGTACTTTAGCTCCATGTGTCCTGTGACACCAGGGTTTAAAACCCAGAGCATCTTCTTTCTGGGGTTCCTTAGCTCTGGTCCAAGAGGGGTACACACAGTCAAGATTCCATCAGCCCCACTTACCTGTGCCTCAGGGTAAAGACCCACAATAAATCCTCAGCTTCTGCCGTGCCTTGCTGGTCACCTGTAAATACTAAACTAGATTCTTGTAACTTGTTGTGTATGATTGTTCTGTCTCCCTGGACTCTGACAGGTTGGTAACCAGGGCACAGCAAACCTGCTTCACAGCAGTCACTGTCATAGAGACAGAACTTGATTACAGGTTGCCAGGGACTGGGAGCAGGGGAAACGGGGAGGGGGTTGTCATTTAATGGCTATGGAGTTTCAGTTCTAGAAGATGGAAAGAGTTCTGGAGATGGATATTATTGATGCTAGCCCAACAATGTGACTATACTTAATGCCATTGTCCTGTACACTTGAAAATGGCTAAGATGGGCAATTTTATGTTCTCTATACTTACCATAGTTTAAAAACTTCACATCTTTATTATGATATTATTGGATCAGAAGGCATCGTTCTATTTTCTAATTTTCTCAGCAAATGTTAATAAATAATCACTTAGAGATGCCATTGTTCACACCACATCTTAACAAACAGTGTTTTTTTTCTAGAGATGAGGGAGTCTCCCTGTGTTTTCCAAGCTGGTCTTGAACTCCTAGATTTCTGCTACCCTCCCTACTTGATCTTGCAAACATCTAGGATAACGGGGATAAGTCCCCGCACCTGGTCTTAACTATCAGTTTACCAGGAGGTTTAACAGGGAACTTCCTTGAAAATGTGTATTCCATTGCAGCCACCTCTAAGGCCAGACAATCTACTAAGCTATATTTCTGCACCCAAGTGCACTGCTCCCTCTGTGATGCCACATGCCCTCAGCATGAAGTCCCATAAGGAGAACAAGGCAAGGAGGCAACCAAATGTTCTGAGTGGAAATTATTGTGAAGGGCTGGCATTAGAAGAGCATCAGTATTGCAGTGCTACTTGACTAGCAAAACACTCTCTGGCTTATGTTGCTGGATATTTTTTTTCCTCAAACTTTTGCTAATACTGAATACTAGGGTTGAGATGAGAACCTTACTATGCTAAGTCTAGTTAAATGCCATTTCATTGAAGATATATTGCTTTATGGAATATAATAAGTATTGAAAATACTTATTACTACTCCAACACTCCCTTTATATATCATGTTACCATCCTAAATATTATGGCTTGATAAAAGTGTTTGATAGGGAACTAGGACAGTATTGATTCTGTTCTCAATGTCCTGTAACACATCAATTCCCCAAATTGACAAGAAAATGGGAAGAAAAACATAGCTTAATAATCACTAGCTATTCTGGTTACTGTTGAGTGACAATTAGGTGAAATCTTAAAAAAAAAATTGAAATATTTTGGAGGGTGTGGAGCTATAATAAGTTATTGGTGGACATATAAAATATTATAGCCACTTTCGGTAAAGTCGGACAGAGTATTAAACACTTACTGATAAACACAGCAACTACACGCCTTGGTATTAGCCCAAAAGAAATGAAGACATATGTTCATGCAAAGTCTTGTTCAAGAACATTCACAGCAACTTTATCCATAATAGCCCAAAATGGAAACAACCCACACGGCAATCAATAGATGAAGGGATCCATCATAAAATTACTGAACAGTTAAATAATACTCAAAAATAAAGAGGAGCACATAATTAGAACACAGGACATCTGAATGAATCTGAGAAAGAGTCATGCTGCACAAAAGTCACCAGACACAAAAGAGCGCATCCTATGTTTCATTTATGTGAAACTCTTACAAGGAAAATGAAATCTGTACTGACAGGAAGCAGATCAAAATTCCCTGATCTGTGAGGCAGAAAGCAAGTTGATTCCAAAAGAGTGGGTCAAAATGTTTTGGAGCTATAGAAATGTTCTATGTCTGGATTTTGGATGTGGTTCTAAAGATGTATTTATTTGTGACAGTTCATTGACAATGTGTTTTATTGTAATCTTTTTTTTTTTTTTTACAGTGAACTTAGTTAACAGTGAGCAAAGCAAGTGTAAGGCCAATTGGGTAGTGTTGTCTTCACATCTTCTGTCTTGCAGTGTACTGAAAATTGTATGAGCCAGAATATCTGAGAGATAATCTCTGCTTTGAAACTGAAGAACTGTGTATCTCATGGCAAGATTTCTCTTTTCCAAGTACTTTGGATTTTTCTTCTCTAGAATGAGAATTTAAATACACTTCACAGATTAAGTCAAAGTGAATAAAATACCTAGGAATCCAACTTACAAGGGAGGTGAAGGACCTCTTCAAGGAGAACTACAAGCCACTGCTCAACGAAGTAAAAGAGGACACAAAACACATAGAAGAACATTCCGTGCTCATGGATAGGAAGAATCAATATAGTGAAAATGGCCATACTGCCCAAGGTAATTTATAGATTCAATGCCATCCCCATCAAGCTACCAATAACTTTCTTCACAGAATTGGAAAAAACTACTTTAAAGTTCATATGGAATCAAAAAAGAGCCCGCATTGCCAAGACAATCCTAAGCAAAAAAAAACAAAGCTGGAGGTATCACACTACCTGACTTCAAACTATACTACAAGGCTACAGTAACCAAAACAGCATGGTACTGGTACCAAAACAGAGATTCAAACCAGTGGAACAGAACAGAGGCCTCAGAATTAACACCACACATCTACAGCCATCTGATCTTTGACAAACCTGACAAAAACAAGAAATGGGGAAGTATTCCCTATTTAATAAATCGTGCTGGAAAAACTGGCTAGCCATATGTAGAAAGCTGAAACTGGATCCCTTACTTACACCTTATACAAAATTTAATTCAAAATGGATTAAAGACTTAAATGTTAGATCTAAAACCATAAAAACCCTAGAAGAACACCTAGGCAATACCATTCAGGACGTAGGCATGGGCAAGGACTTCATGACTAAAACACCAAAGCAATGGCAACAAAAGCCAACATAGACAAATGGGATCTAATTAAACTAAAGAGCTTCTGCATGACAAAAGAAACTACCATCAGAGTGAACAGGTAATCTACAGAATAGGAGAAAATTTTTCCAATCTACCTATCTGACAAAGGGCTAATATCCAGAATCTACAAAGAACTCAAACAAATTTACAAGAAAAAAACCAAACAACCCCCTCAAAAATTGGGCAAAGGATGTGAACAGACACGTCTCAAAAGAAGACATTTATGCAGCCAACAGACACATGAAAAATGCTCATCATCACTGGTCATAAGAGAAATGCAAATCAAAACCACAGTGAGATATCATCTCACGTCAGTTAGAATAGCAATCATTAAGAAGTCAGGAAACAATAGATGCTGGCGAGGATGTGGAAAAATAGGAAAGCTTTTACACTGGTGGTGGGAGTGTAAATTAGTTCAACCATTGTGGAAGACAGTGTGGCAATTCCTTAAGGATCAAGAACTGGAAATACCACTTGACCCAGCAATCCCATTACTGGGTACCTACCCAAAGAATTATAAATCATGGTACTATGCACACATATGTTTATCATGCCACTATTCACAATAGCAAGACTTGGAACCAACCCAAATGTCCATCAATGATATAATGGATTAAGAAAATGTGGCACATATACACCAAGGAATACTATGCAGCCATAAAAAGGATGATTTCATGTCCTTTGCAGGGACATGGATAAAGCTGGAAACCATCATTCTCAGTAACCTATCACAAGGAAAAGAAACCAAACACCTCATGTTCTCACTCATAGGTGGGAATTGAACAACGAGAACATTTGGACACAGGGTGAGGAACATCACACACTGGGGCCTGTCATGGGGTCGGGGGCAGTGGGAGGGATAGCATTAGGAGAAATACCTAATGTAAATGATGAGTTGATGGGTGCAGCAAACCAACATGGCACATATATCCCTATGTATCAAGCCTGCACGTTGTGCACTTGTACCCTAGAACTTAAAGTATAATAAAAAAATATATATTTTGAGACTCATAGCAATTGCCCTTGTTCTGCAAACATTTCTAGAGGTAGCAGGCCAGTGGTGCTCACAGAAGTGTCTAGCATGCAGTATCTGTTCTATTGTTCATGAAAATTGTCTCACATAGTCTAGCAGTGGGCAGCAGCAATTGGGTGTTGACATCATTTCCCTGAGTCTTGTTTAATAGACTCCTTAATAAATCATTTTCCTACTATTAAATATAAATTTTGCGGATATTTAGAGATAATTGGCTTATGATAATTGCAATTAAGGAACCTTGAGGACATGTTAGAAATCACAAAGATTAGGATATTTTGCAAATGTTATGCTTCCAATAGCTAGGTTACCCTAAAACCTCTCTTACAAAGTATGCTTCCCAAGATGTTCCCAGGGGTCACAGGACTAGTCAATGCCAGTAAGTACAGGACAGATTTCACACTCAGTACAAGTACCTGATATTTGAGGAAACTAAAGATGCCAGAACACCCTAGCAGAACCCTCTCCCCAGTGAATCACACAATTGTATAATCTACCTCCACAGAGAGCAAGCGGAACCTAGACTTGCTTCTAATCCATATGATATGTCATAGGTTATGAGATGTCTTTCCAATGATTGTATTCTATAAGCCTCTGTCATAGCAGACTGGAAAGAGACACTCTCTGAAACCTTCTGCTGACCATGAACAAGCAACCAGCCATGTGGGCATTGCCTGTGTGAGCATCACATGGCAGGGAATTGTCCACAGCCTCTTGGACCTAAGAGCAGCCTTGAGCCAAGAGCCAGTTAGAAATTGAAGCCCTGAGTCATAGAAATGCTAAGGAATGAGCTCTGCAACTACCTGAAAGAGCTCTAAAGTATCTATGTTCTCAGGGGACTCACAGGTGAGAATGAAGCCCAATCTACACTGTGGCACAGTCTTGTGAAATCCAATGGCCAGGACCCGACAAAGCCATGTGCCAACTGCTGACTCAGAAATTGAGAGATGATAAATGGGTGTAGTCTTAAGCTGATAAATTTGTGGTAATTTGTTACATGGCCATAACAAACTTAGCACACATTTTAAGAACAAATAGTAGACCGAAGAGCAGCCATGCCACTGACATTGACTGTAGATGGGCACAGGCTTATTCTCATTGTGACCTTAGGGTTTCCAAGCACTGTGAGAGAGAGGAAAGCTTCGATGTGCAAGCCCTTTCCAAGACTCCACTTGTGTCACATCTGCTATTATCCTATTGGCCTGAGCAAGACACATGGGCAACACCTGCATCCATTTAGAATGAGGCCAACCAAAGGATGAGTACAGGGAAGGGATTTATTGTGGCTAATTGTGCAAGTAGTTTATCCATAAATTTTTTATCATTATTTGCTGAGAAATACCCTGACAAAAAGAAACCTCTTTAAAAGGCTTAAAGGTTTTAGGTTGTAGGTTCATTCATTGTAGCGTTCTGCTTTATATCCAAGTATAAATAATTGAGAACTCCTTCAAATTGTTATTTCCATGATGGTTTATTTTCCCCATACCTTTACAGGTAATTTTGGTCCTGCAATGTGCTAGCCAAGTTTAATGTGCAGAGCTGACCATTTGCACAATGTGACTGACACGCCACTGCACCTTGAATGTGGACCTTGACTTGTGGTGATCTATGAGAATCTGCTTCTCAAAAGAATGTATTTGTCACCCCTTTGATCTTTATCCTGTCTGAATACACACACTTCTCTATTGTTCCATGGCTACTCTGTATGTTGTCTCTATTAACTCACTCTTGCCATAAGTGACTAAGAGCACCTAACACAGAAATAATAAATACAACCAGTTCTGAAAATTAAAAATAGTTAAATAGCATAGGGACATTATAGAAAAAAATGTATAACTATCTTAAGTATAAAGAAAATGAAGTCTTCGTATTTTGCAAAGAAGCTGTGTGAACGCTGTGTCTGCAGGTTTCAGCCCCAGGGTGGGCCCCTGCCTTTCCTGTGACTGAGCATATTGCCTTTCTCACACCTGCAGTCATCCAGCGAAGTGACAGGATGGGCTGAGCTGAGCTGTACTGTTGGGCCACCCTGGGGAGATCTTGGTTATATAAGATGCATTTCAGAGGATAACAATAACTGCTAACAGCAATAAATGACAGCAGTTCAGCTTTGTTCATGTAGAATTTCTCCCAAACAACCCACAATGAATAGACTTGAACCCCAGAGTTGATCTGGGAACAAACCTAATACAGATTGGGGAATAGGACCCATCTTCCTGACCCATGTAAACCGATACCAAAAGTTGTCCAACCTGCACATCAAACCAGCTTCCAGATAGGTTAAAGAAGTCACATCAGACCATCCAGTCGCAAATGAACCACAGGGTAACTGCAGACACAAGAGCGGACTCAGCAGAGATCAGTCCAGCCAGCCCAGAATGGAAGAACCACAGAGCTGACCCTCAGAATTATAAGGAGCTGTACAGTCAGCTCTCTATCCATGGGAACTGCATCCATGGATTCAACTAATCCTGGATCAAAAATATTTTGAAAAAAAAATCCACAAAATTCCAAAAAGCAAAGCTTGACTTTGCCATGTGCTGAGTAACACTTGGATGAATCTACACAAGTTAAGTCATGTGTAGACATCGTACTAGGTACTATAAGGAGGCTAGAGATGGTGTGAAATGTACGGGAGGATATGTGTAGGTTATATGCAAATATTGTGCATTTTACATAAAGGTTTTGAGTCTCCAAAAATTGGAATATCTGCAGGGTGCCCTGGAAACTATTTCCCATGGATACTGAGGGAGGACTGCACATACTCATTTTATGGCATTTTGTTTGGAGCTGGTTTGTTTTCAAAGAAGAGTTAATAATACAACCTGTTTTTGTGAACAGGAGCCAATAGAGTTAAGTGATAGTGTAGTCCCATTTATTGCAATTTTTTTGTGACTGCAAAGTCTATTTGCTTGTTTTTTAAAAAAGATAAGAATACTCTTACCTGATTATCATGGACTTTGGATGTCTTCCTTATCTCCCCAGCAAAATACAAACTATGAAGAGCAGCACACTGACTATGAAGAGCTGACTATGAAGAGCAGCACACTGCTATTCAAACTTCTCATTACTCAGAATAATCCATGTTTTACATTCAGTGGGTTGTTTTCAACGTGTATAGGTTATGAGTGTTGATTATGTCTTGGAGAGTTTCTTACTAACTTTTCATTATTCATTCATTCAATAAAGTGTTAATTGAGCAACTATGCTGGACCAGGAACGTATCTAGGCTGCACCCCTGAGAAAGTCAGTGTCTGACTCTCATTTACCTATATCTTTTCTGGTGAAAAAAAGGCCATGTCTAATTAAACATAAATCAACAAAAAGATTCTAGAAAAAGTTAAGGGTCATAAAGGAAAAAAATGGCAAGGGAAGAGGAAGTGGTTAATGAGGAAAAGGAGTCAGTTAGTTAGGGAGGTAGAGGCTACTTTTTCTGAGGAGGTGACTGACCTGGATGAGGAGAACAACTGACCTGAAGAGAAGTTTCTGAAGGGCACTGAGGTTCATGACAATCAAGGCGCTTAGAAGGAATACAGTATGAACGTGTGAAGGACAGAGAAAGGCACTATGAGGAGAGTGACTTAACCAACCGAGGTAAAAAAGAGAAAGTTCGTGAGGGGGCAGGTCAGAGCCATTTTCTCTCAGTGTCTTAAAGATCACCACATGTGACTGATGTGAAATTAATAAGGCCTTCATTTTCTGTTTGGGGAGCAAATGCTTTGTAAGTACAGCAGGACATTCTGGGAATTTTTTTAACCAAAGTACCCCCATGGTCATATTTATTTTTTAGCAAAGTAATGACTCGAATTGGGCTGTGAGAAGCAGAAGAGATGCTTATCTGGGCAAAGTGGATCCTGGCATAAACTAGTTTTGGGGCAGTGAAGATTGTTGGAGACATAGGCAGATGATACCATATTTTTAAATCAATGTCATTTACACTCCTTGGTGTGAGAAGAGTCAGATTAGGAGTGACCTGGCAGCTTTGGCCTTAATCTATTAGATAGATTCTGACTTACTGATGTTAAATGTATTAGCGGTCAAGAAAGTTGAGATAAAATGAAAGGAGTTTGTTATTTTTGCTCAATTCTAGATTGAGACACCAATGAACATGCAGATTAAGTGGGCAGGTTTGCAAGTGAGTGGAGTTTGAGCTCAGAGAAAAGAAAATACGCATAGGTATTCAGCAGCACTTACAGGGTAATTTATGGTATTAAAACCACGTGTATGCATATGCATCTGCACATATTTATGCATGTGTATGCACGTAGATAAACATATGCATATGAGTATTTTTCAGAAAATAAAAGGGATAAAACCAATAATCTCAGCTTCCACCTTATGAAACTACATAAAGAGGAGCAATTTATATCTGAAGTAGAACATGAGCAAAATAAATAATAAATATTAGGGCAGAAATCAATAAAACTGCAAACAGAAAAAGTGACACTGAACACCAGGCAAGCCAAAGGCTGGTTCTTTGGAAAGAACAATATTGTATAGTTCCCATATATTTGAAAATTTGGGGGTTACATTTTCAATATTGATTTCTAGTTTGATCCCTCCATGGTCAGAGAACACATTCACTGTGATTTTAATTATTGCAAATATGTTGAGAGGTTATGTGGGCAGGATATGTCCTATCTTGGTATATGTTGTGGGCACTTGGAAGAAAAAAATGTGAACTTCTATTGTTATGGGTTGGAGTGTTCTATAAATGTCAGTTAGATCTCGTGGGTTGATGATATTGTTGAGTCCTAAATCCTTGCTGATTTTCTGTCCAGTTGTCCTATCGAAGATTAAAAAGGGGTTTTTGAAGTCTCTGTGTGCAATTGTTTTGTTAGTTTCTGCCACATGCACTATATCGCTCTGTTGCTTGGTGTCTACGCACTTAGAACTGCTCTGTCTTCTTTCCAAAATGACTTTCTTCATTATGTAATGTACCTTTCTGCCCCTGGTAACATTCTTTGGCTCTGTAGTCTACTTTATCTGATATTAGTATTTGCTACTGATTCTTTTTATTAATGTTTGCATAGTATACCATTTTCCTTCCTTTTATATTCAATCTACTTATACTGTTATATTTGATGTGAGTGTCTTGTAGATAACATACAGTTGGGACATTTCTTTTTATTCATCAATTGTTGTCTTTTTCAAAGTTTCATAATTTGCATATTTAATATATTGATATTGATATATTAAAATTTAAGTCTGCACTCTACTTTTTTGCTATATCTTTTTTTGCTTCTCTGTTTTCTTTTTGCTGCCTTCTTTTGGGTTACTTGAACATCTTCACAATTTCATTTTAATTTTACCTAATTTTGGGGTATCTCTTTTTATAATGATTTTCAAATTGGTTGTCATGGTATTTCCTTTATATGCATAGCTTCTCACAGTATGTTGGCATCAATATATTACCATTTAAAATAAATATAGAATTTTACCTTTTTTATGTCATGTTTCCTCCCCCATTGTAAATAGATTGTTTTTTAAAAGTAATTTATCTGCATATATTAGGAACAAAACAGTATTACAACTTTGATACAACTATCACACATGATTTAGCAATGCATTATATCCATCTATCTTCTCATTTTTGTAGCCTTTTGTCCCTAACATTATTTAACATCCTCTCTTTATCTTTAGTTTTATCTTCCTAGGGCTCATTTTGCCTATGTTTAAAGTGGATCTGCTGGCAGCAAATACTCTTAGTTTTTCTACAACTGAGGACTTCTCAATTTGTCCTTCATTTCTAAATAATAATTTTACTGGACATAGGATTTTAGGGCAGCAGATCTTTTCTTTAAATACTAGAAAATATGTCATAATTGACACCAGATAACAAGGTGGAAATATTTCCAAGAACAGAGGACAACCATGCTCTCAGTGAGGTGAAAGACATCTCTTCCCCTTGCATTAGTTTCCAATGCTGCTGTTTAAATCACCACAGTCTTATTGGCTTCACACAAATAAAATATAGTACCCCGTGTCAGAAGTCTCACTGAGCTAATGTTAAGGTGTCAGTAGGGCTGTAATCTGTCACACATGTGTGTGTGAAGAGACAACCAAGCAGGCTTTGTGTGAACAATAAAGCTTTTTAATCACCTGTGTGCAGGCTGACTGAGTCCGAATAAGGAGTCAGCAAAGGGAGATAGTGGTGGGGCAGTTTTATAGGATTTGGGTAGGGTAGTGGAAAATTACAGTTAAAGGGGGTTGTTCTCTTGTGGGCAGGGTCAGGGGTCACAAGGTGCTTTGTGGGGGAGCTCCTGAGATTCATTTTCCAGGAGAAGGAATGTCACAAGGTTAATTGATCAGTTAGGGTGGGGCAGGAACAAATCACAATGGTGGAATATCATCGGTTAAGGCAGGAACTGGCTATTTTCACTTCTTTTGTTGTTCTTCAGTTGCTTCAGGTCATCTGGATGCATACATGCAGGTCACAGGGGATATGATGGCTTAACTTGGGCTCAGAGACCTGACATTCCTATCTTCTTATATTAATAAGAAAAAACAAAATACTGGTGAAGTGTTGGGGTGGCAAAAATTTTTGGTGGTGGTATGGAGAGAGAATGGGCATTGTTTCTCAGGGCTGCTTCGAGTGGGATTAGGGGTGGCATGGGAACATAGTGTAGAAGATATTAAACTGAAGAAAGATTTTCGGGTAAAGGGTGGTATTGTGGGGTTGTTATAAGGAGCATTTGCCATATAGAATGATTGGTGATGGTCTGGATGCGGTTTTGTATGAATTGAGAAACTAAACGGAAGACACAAGGTCTGAATAAGAGAAGGAGAAAAACAGGTATTAAAGGACTAAGAATTGGGAGGACCCAGGACATCCAATTAGAGAGTGCCCAAGGAGGTTCAGCATAATTATTTGCTTGGTTGGTGAGTTTTTGGGCTCTATCCTTGAGTTTTTTTATGTTGTCATATACCAGGCCAGATTGATTTAGGTAAAAACAATACTCTTCATTTAAAAATACACAGAGTCCTCCTTTTTCAGCAGTAAGTCGAGGCCTTGGCAGTTTTGGAGGACAACCACAGCTAAAGATTCAACCTGGGCCTGGACGACTGATAAAGTTTGTGATATGTCTGTGATGCTAGCAGAGAAGTCATTAGAAAGGCTAAGGAAGGTTGTGACAGAGGTTGAAATGCCTGCTATTCCAGTTCCGAGAGCAATAGTGGAGGCAGAAATTCCTAAACTGACAAGTAAGGGAATTAGTGGAATAACACTTTTTTATCGTGTCGGTTTCATGAGGGGAACAGGAAGCTGTTTGGTCCCATTTGCAAATTGAATCTAGGGACTTAGGAAAACTAGTGTGCATGTGCCTGTCCAATTAGCAGATAGACACATGTAGGTAGAGAATCCACAGAGGAAGAAGAGACCTTGTGCAAGGCAATACCGGAGCTGCAAAGTGAAAAGATGAGAAGGAGTACTAAAAGAGGTGTATTGTACCCAGACTCCTAGGGATCCAGCTAGCGCGGCAGCCATCAGAGGTTGTAATGGGGACTGATGGGGTAACCGCATAGAGGGGAAGGTTCGATTTTCATGGTGTAAGAGAAAGTGTCGAGTGTCTATGAGCAACCTTTCACTGTTATTTACGGGGCTGGGTATAAGCAAACAAGAAGAGGGCCTGGGAGGAGAGTCTGAAGAGCAAGGGGAAGGCAGCAAAGGATGGAGTGAAATACAGGGTAATGTCTTCCTAAGCAATAATAACTGCTAATGTTTTTAAGTTTGTCAGTACTGATAGAGGGCTTATCTGTAATATGGAGCTGGAAAGCCACAATTGTTTCAGTGGTATGTGTAGCTGGGCTTTGGAGATCAAGAGTGAAGGAACATCGAGAAGATGCAAGGTTACCCAGGGGAATTCCAGTGGGTCTTTGCCGAGAGATACATAAAGGAGCAGCCACAGGAATAGCAGCTTGTGTTGTGAGGGGTCTAAATATGGGGGGAGTAGAGTTGATATAAGGAGAAAGGTTTTTTAAGTAAGTGCGAAGAAGGGCAGCAGCTTTCTGATGTGAAATGTCTGGGGAGGTCTTGCTGGACCTGTCTAGAAAGTAAAGAAGTTCTTCAGGAGGGTAAAGGTGAGGGCTGTTAAAGGAAGTTCGGAGATGTACGGAGACAGGAGATGTTGCCCAGTAGGTATGTAAGGCAGGGACAGCTTTGTAAGCGCAGGAAGAAAGGGAAATGCAAAGCCAGCAATTGTTCGCTAAGGAGGGATTAGAAATGGCTTGGAGAGAGTGAGTGAGACTGATAGTGTAGTGGAGATAGTTGGGGAGAGGGAGAGGGTGGCATAAGAATGGGAATGAGAATAAGAGTGAGTATAAAAATAAAGAATAGGACTTCATCATGGTGAAAATATTGGAGTGTGCCCTGCCAGCAAAGATCATCTATCCACTCCAAGAGGAAGTCAAGAGTGGTGGTTTGGCAATAGGGCCAGGAGATATCAGCTGTGATGGTTTGGAGAAACAGTGTAAACCAGCAGTATAAACAAGAGCAGGGCATTTATGAGTAGTTGAGAATGGTGAATAGGAGTATGACTAGACAGAAGATAGTAGGGATGACAAGTTTTGGGGCACAGTCCAAGTAGTGGGGGTGACTGTGTAAAGCCCTGTTGCAAAAAGTAGAGTAAGGATGAATAGACCTAATAGAATGAAGGAACATATTAGGTTCATAAGGGTTATTACTGTTTTCAGAAATGTGAGTGAGTTTAAGGGAAGTAGTGGAGAGTACTTGCAACTTCCAGGAGGAAGAGGAGAGATCAGGCTTGCTGTCCAATGGACACAGCTTTATTCTGGAATGGTGAACCCAATGGGGAGGGTCCTGCAGATGGACAGCAGTTGGGGTGCTATAGATGACTAGGTAGGGTCCAGTCCATCGAGGCTGTAGAGTTTGAGGGCTCAGACTCTTAACAAGAACTGATCATTCAGCTAGGGTGTCTTCATATGGCTGGGAATCTGGAGTAGGAAAGAGAAGATTAGCAGTCGGGCGAATTTCCTGTCTAGCCTGCTGGAGGACTGGAAGATAGTTGTCCAGAGGGCTGGTGTCTGGAACAAGGTTGGGGCCAAGCAAGAAAGTAAGTCCATATAAAAGTTGAAATGGACTGTACCCTGTAGCATCTTGAAGTCAGGCTCTACTTCTGAGAAGGGCAAGTGGTAGAAATACTGTCCAGTCCCTTTTAAGTTGGAAGCTGAGCTTGGTGAGGTGTGTTTTTAAAAGACCATTACTCCTTTCTACCTTTCCTGAAGACTGAGGATGGTAGGGGGTATGAAGTTTCCACTGAATATCAAGAGCTTGAGAGACAGCTTGGAGGATTTGACTAATAAAAGCCAAACCATTGTCAGATTGAATAGAAGTAGGGAGGCCAAATCAGGGAATTATGTCTGTTAGAAGGGAAGAAATGACTGCAGTAGCCTTTTCAGAGATAGTGGGAAATGCCTCAACCCACCCAGTGAAGGTGTCAATCCAAACCAGGAGATATTTAAATTTACAGATATGGGGCATATGAGTGAAGTCAATCTGCCAATCTTGTGTTGGAGTAAATCCATGAGCCTGATGCGTAGGAAAAGGAGGAGGGCTGAGAAAGCCTTGGGGGCTGGTGGCATGGTAGACGAGCATTGAGAGGTGACTGTCTTAAGGATGGATTTCCATGAAGAGAAGGAGATGAGGGGCTGCAGGAGGCGAGCCAGAGGCTTGTATCCCACATGGAAGTGGTCATGAAGGAAAGAAAGCATGGACTGAGCTTGTGAGGCAGGAAGAATGAATTTTCCATGATTTAAGAAGCACTTTCCCTGAGTTGGAAAAGACTAGTAGAGCAGGCTTTCAAAAGAGTAGGTGGTAGTGATAGATAAGGAAGAAAAATACTGGTCCTCTGGAGTGGGAGCTGGAATATTAGCGGGTGTGGAGGCATTGGCTATTTCTTTTGCTGTCCTGTCGGCATAGGCATTTCCTTTTGCAATAAGATGAGTAGGTTTCTGGTGTCCTTTACAATGAATGACTCCAGGCTTGGCCAGCAGGAGAGCAGCCTTAAGGAGGACCTTTATTAGGGAGGCATAGATAATGGAAGAGGTTTGTGTGGTAAGGAAGCCTCTTTTAGCCCAGATGGCAGCATGGTTATGGAAGATGTGGAAAGCATATTTGGAGTCAGTATAAATGTTAATGTGCATTCCCTTAGCGAGAGAGAGCACATGAGTTAAAGCAATCAGTTTGGCTTGTTGGGAAGTGGTGGAGGGAGGAAGTGCAGCAGTTTCAATAATAGAGATGTGGGACATGACAGCATATCCAGCTTACCTGGTGAAAATTGATTGGGTGGTCTGGATTTTGAATTCGAAGAATAGAAATACGAGGAAAGGAGGAAGATCCTATGTGTATTAGGGAAATGCAGTCACGTGGTTCAGGACTTGTGTTGGTTACTAACTGAGAAGCTGGGTTGAAATCGTGCCCATGGCCAATAGTTACTGTTGGGGTTTCAATAAAAGATGAATAGAGCTGGAGGAGTCGAGGGGCAGACAGTAAGTGTGAAAGGTGTGAGGAGGATATTAATGCTTGAAGGTTGTGAGAACTGTAGAGGGTAAGTGGAGCATAGCTTGTGATTTTGAGGGCTTCCAGAAGTATTACAGCAGCAGCTGCTGCTGCACGCAAATATGAGGGCTGCACCAGAATTGTGAGGTCAAGTTGTTTTGATAGAAAGGCAACAGGTCATGGGCCTGGCTCCTGTGTGAGGACTCCAGCAGCGCAGCCTTGTATTTCAGCTGTGTGTAAGGAAAAAGCATGGGACGAGTTGGGGAGTGCTAGTGTGGGAGCTGTCTCCAGGGCCTTTTTGAGAGAGCAAAAAGAACAATGGGCAAAAAACTTAGGGTCTATGGGATCAGTTAAGTTACCTTTTGTGAGCTTGTAAAGTGGTTTTGTTAGGATAGCAAAGCCTGGTATCCAGAGTCGGAAATATCCAACAATGCCTAAGAAGGAAAGGAGTTGTTGTTTTGTGGTGGGGATTCGGGTCTGGGAGATTAACTGAGCACAGTCTGCAGGAAGGGCATGTGTATGCTGATGGAGGATTATACCGAGATAGGTAACACTAGGGGAAGAAATTTGTGCCTTGGAGGGGGATACTCGGTACCCCTTTAAATAGAGATGTTGAAGAAGCAGGGTAGTGTCCTGCTGGGAAGATTGGTAAGAGGGACTGCAAAGAAGAAGATCATCAAAATATTGAATAAGGTGGGAGGCAGACAGGTGAAAAGAAAGCAGATCATGAGAAAGGGCCTGGCCAAAGTAGTGTGGGCTGTTCCTGAAGCCTTGGGGCAGAACAGTCCAGGTGAGTTGTTGGGATTGGTGGGTGTCACGGTCAGTCCAAGTAAAGGCAAAAAGAGGCTGAGAGGAGGGATACAAGGGGATAGTAAAGAAGGTGACTTTGAGGTCAA